>NW_003315917.2:779564-959128 GCF_000001405.40 Homo sapiens | reverse complement strand
CCTGTTGAATCAGAAACTCTGAGGATGGGTCTAGCAGTCCGCTTTAACAAATCCTCCAGGTGGTTACCATAAATGTTGAAGTGTGAGAGCTACTGCCTGTAATCCCATTTAGAGAGGTACATAGGTAACTTAAAAACAGGTCCTGATAAAAGAATTCTACTAAACTTAAAAAACAAATTCAGGTAACTTTATAAACAAACAAATCTCGGCCGGGCGCGGTGGCTCACGCCTGTAATCCCAGCACTTTGGGAGGCCGAGGCAGGCGGATCACGAGGTCAGGAGATCGAGACCATCCTGGCTAACACGGTGAAACCCCGTCTCTACTAAAAATACAAAAAATTAGCCGGGCGTGGTGGCGGGCGCCTGTAGTCCCAGCTACTCGGGAGGCTGAGGCAGGAGAATGGCGTGAACCCGGGAGGCAGAAATTGCAGTGAGCCGAGATCGCGCCACTGCACTCCAGCCTGGGTGACAGAGCAAGACTCCGTCTGAAAACAAACAAACAAAAAAAACAAATCTCAAACATGGAATTATTTTTTCACTTCTCTCTTTTGTTTTGTTTTTTTTTTTTTTTGAGACAGAGTCTCGCTCTGTCACCCAGGCTGGAGTGCAGTGGCGCGATCTCGGCTCACACTGCAATTTCTGCCTCCCGGGTTCACACCATTCTCCTGCCTCAGCCTCCCGAGTAGCTGGGACTACAGGTGCCCGCCACCACGCCCGGCTAATTGTTTTTTTGTATTTTTAGTAGAGACGGGGTTTCACCGTGTTAGCCAGGATGGTCTCGATCTCCTGACCTCGTGATCCGCCCGCCTCGGCCTCCCAAAGTGCTGGGATTACAGGCGTGAGCCACTGCGCCCGACCTTTTTCACTTCTCTTAATGCTCTGTAAACATTAATGTATTTATATATGTACTTAGAATTTTAAAAAATCAATTTTATTGAGTTATAATTAACATACAGTAAAAATGCTCCCATCTTGAGTAATTCCATGCCTTTTGACAAGTGTTCTGTACCCATGCCACGACCACCACAATCGAGAGAGAACATCTTCATCACTCCAGAAGGGCTCCTTCATCACTCCAGAAGGGCTCCTTTGCAGTGAGTACTCCCTAGGAGTTCCAGCGGCCGGTGACATTGATCTGTTTTCTGTCACTGTAGATGAGATTTGTCTGTTATATACAATTTTTAAAAATTAAATGATATGTATGGCTTCTTTTGCTTAGCATAATGTTTTTGAGCTTATTCATTTGTTGCATATATCAATACTTTGCTTCTTTTTACCACCTGTACTTCATTTATGGATACGTTGTTTATCCATGTGTTTATCCCCAATGGACATTGGGTTGTTTCTGATTTTTTGGTTATTATTATGAATAAAGTTGCTATGAACATTATCGTATAAATCTTTGTGTGTTCATGTGTTTTCATTTTTCTTGGGTAAATATGTAGGAATGGAATTGCTAGATTGTATGGCAAGAGTATACTTAGCTTTCCATGACACCAGTGAACTGTTTTTCCAAAGACATTGTATTAATACCATTTTACATTCCCACAACTAATGTATGAGCTTCCAGTTGCTCCATATCCTCAACTAACAGTTGATATTGTACAATACAAATGTTAACTTTTAGAATATCTTCACAACTTTAGAGTAGATAGTGATTTCTTAGGACACAAAAACTATCAATCATAACAAAAATTAAAATTGGACTTCATCAAAATTAAAAACTTCTTTTTGAAAGACACCATTAAGAAAATGAAAAGATGGTTAACAGACTGAGAGAATATATGTGCAATGTAAATATCTAACAAAGGACTAGTATGCAAAATATATAAAGAATCCTTATAATTTAGTAATAAAAAGGAAAACACGCACTTTTTAAATGGGTCAAGAATTTAATTACGGCCAGGTGCAGTGGCTCACACCTGTAATCTCAGCACTTTGGGAGGCCGAGGTGGGTGGATCACGAGGTCAGGGGTTCGAGACCAGCCTGGCTAACATGGTGAAACCCTGTCTCTACTAAAAATACAAAAATTAGCTGGGCGTGGTGGTGGGCGCCTGTAATCCCAGCTACTCGGGAGGCTGAGGCAGGGGAATCGCTTGAACCCAGGAGGCGGAGGTTGCAGTGAGCTGAGATTGTGCCACTGCACTCCAGCCTGGGCGACAGAGCGAGACTCTGTCTTTTAAAAAAAAAGAAAAAAATTTAATTACCTTACCAAAGAAGATACATGAATGACCAATAAGCCATTAAATTAAAACTTCAGTGAGTATACACATATGCCCTGAAGTAGCTAAACTTTAAAACACTGCCCTATGTGTGTGTACTTTTTAGCTAAAAAAGTGTTTGAAAACAGTATTATTTTGAAACTCAAAATTCCAAATCCTCTCTTCAAATTAGGTAGTAGTGTCACTGGAAGTAAAAGAGAAGTTACTTTAACTGCTAAAGAGTATCCACTAAGAATCTACAACAAACATCATGTTTAATGCTCAAACTTTAGAAGAATTTATACCAAAAGTCAAGAATAAGATAGGATATCTATCTTCATTATTAAGCAACATTATATTAGAGGCCCTAATCAATGCAACAAGGCAATAAATAAAAGACAAAACTGTCATAATCAGATACTACAAACATCTAAGAAAATTCAGGGGGATTTACAGTCATATATTAAACAGTCCAGAAGGAGTCCTATACATCATCAATGAATATTGAGAATAAAAAATAGTTTTTAAAACCCCTCCAATTTATAAGGGCAACAAAATGTACAAGGTACTAAAATAAATGTAATGTGTATTTGGGTATAAATACAGCAACATAATGAAAAGGTTTATTGGGGAAAAAATTACAGGGAGAAGGGTCAACAACGTGAAGAGGTTCCCCTGCCATCTGGACTTCTGGAAAAAGACCTGCTGGTCTAGGCACAGCTGGATGCACCATGGAAAGTGGTTCCAATAAACACTGGCACTGTAACAATTGTGTATGTTGATACAAAAAGAGGGAGCCAATGAATACTTGGTCGATTATTTAACAATTGCTTCTCTGCTGAAGAAATGGCCTTGTTGGACTAGAGCTTAACTGTGGTTCACATACTAATGCTGCTATAACAGCTAGAAGCCTTACTAAGAAATTTACTAAACCACCAAAAAGAGGAAATGAACCTTCTAGGACATCTGGATTGCCTTTTCTTAAAAATCTAGTCTTGGCTGGGTGCTGTGGTTCACGCCTGTAATCCCAGCATTTGGTGAGGCCGAAGTGGGCGGATCACGAGGTCAAGAGATCGAGACCATCCTGGTCAACATGGTGAAACCCTGTCTCTACTGAAAATACAAAAATTAGCTGGGCGAGGTGGCATGTGCCTGTAGTCCCAGCTGCTGGGGAGGCTGAGGAAGGAGAATCACTTGAACCCGGGAGGCGGGGTTTGCAGTGAGCTGAGATCACGCCATTGCACTCCAGCCTGGCAACAGAGCAAGACTCAGTCTAAAAAAAAAAAAAAAAAATCTAGTCTGTATGGCAGCACAACATCAGGTAAAAGTACAGACTAGCCAGATCACTGGTTAACCTTAACCCCTATGTGCTTGAGTTTCCTTATCTGTAATATGGAGATGATATAGCAATAGCTGATTTTGGACTGTTAAAGGAATTAAGTGGACACATGTAAAGTGCTTAGAATTGTGCCTGGCAAGTAGTAGGCTGCAATATTGTGATATAATAAATATATATATTTGATCTTCATCCAGTTCCTGGCACAGATCTCCAGAAACCCTTGTAATTTCCTGAGTGACAGGGGTGATAGAAACATCTTTTATTAGAATACTTGGTCTTGGTTCCTGACACAAGAGCTTCTAAGACCTTTGGAATCTCCAAGTGATAAGAGTGTATGACAGTGAGCTAACTGGTGGCTGGGATCCTTTAGACAACTTCAGGATGGGGGCTATCCCGTGAAAGACTAAGGCATGATTAGAGGTCTGGGATTTGCAGCCCCACGCCTCGACCTCCAGAGAGGGTAAAAGGGCTGGCGATTGATTAACCACCAGTTGCCAGTGATTTAGCCAATCATGCCTAAGTGATGGCACCTCCATTAAAAAATAAACCACAGGTTTGGAGAGCTTTCGGTTTGGTTAACCCCAACCACATACCAAGAAGGCGATGCACCTCAAACTGCATGAAGACAAAAGGTCCTGTGCTCACCTGGGACCCTTCTGGACGTTGCCCTGTGTACCTCTTCGACTGCCTGTTCATCTGTATCCTTTATAATAAAGCAGTAAACATAAGTAAAGTTTCTGAGTTCTGTGAGCCATTATAAGAAACGATCGAACCTGGGATTTTCCTTTCGGAAGCCGCTCTCTCTCACAAGGGAGAGAGCTGTTCTCCTTTTTCTTTTGCGTGTTAAACCTCCGCTCCTAAACCCACTCTTCGTGTGTATCGTGTCCTTAACCTTGTTGGTGCGAGACGACGAACCCCGGGTATTGACCCCAGACAACAATGCCACTTCATATTGGGGACTTCGTCTGGGATTCCAAGGTGCATTCATTGCAAAGGTGAGTAAAGGGGCGGACCTCAACTCTGTCCTTTGATTTCGAGGCTCTTGGCCTCCATTTTAGAATCAAACCAAACCAAATACTGGGCCCCCTTCTGCTTCTGTGAATGAGAAAACTCTGCCTTCACCAATTAGCCATTTAAAAATTATGAGCGTGGCTGCCAGCCTTACAAGTTTTGGGGGACAGGCTTGCTGGGGAGAACATGGAGAACCCCCCAATACCCACGGGCTGCTGGGCATATTGGCCATGTTTGAACCAGTTTCCTTTCACGGAGGACCAAGCTGTCGTGTGGGGCTGGAAGAGGTCCTGGAGCAACTGAGGATTTCTGGCTGGGGCTACCTCCTGGTGCCATCCGAAGGCTTCTGGACTGACCCCAGCCTCCGACCACCCTAAGGGGTGTCAGCAACAGGACCTCCAACTTTCCTATCATAATTCCCTCATTTCCTATCCACGACCACCATGTCTCCTAACCTCTCTCTGTATGCAGTACTGAGGGAGTTTTACAGTTCAGGGAAGTAATCTTGTTAGGCAAGAACAAAGACTGCTGTAGTAACCAGGGATATAGCACAGGGGCATGCTGTTGTGATTTTCTAGGAACAGAGGGTCTCCTCTCCCACCACAGTGAGCGTCACTCTCTGCCCTTGCTCTGGAAAGCACATGGCATGTCAAGGTCACTCTGCCCTTTGTCATAGTAAGATTAGGGTGGGGCGCCCAACCTTCCCCGCGTGCTATGTAAACGTCACACCTGTTCAAACCAACCTGTGGGCTCTGCGCAAATCAGACGCCGCCTCCTCAGGCCTACCTATAAAATCTGGTGCAGTCCACCGCAGGCCGGATTTTCCTTTCGGAAGCCCCTCACAAGGGAGAGATCTGTTCTCGTTTTTCTTTCTTTTGCCTATTAAACCTCTGCTCCTAAACTCCCCCAACCCCCAAGAAAGAAATTATCGAACCTGAGGGGGTTGCAGATACCCATGATTTGTAGTGAACTCAGACAGAAGTGTGGGTACCCTGAGGTCCTAATAGTTGTGGCTGGCATCTGAAGTAGGGGGCAGTCTTGGGGGCTGAGCCCCTAACCCGTGGGGTCTGCACTAACTCTGGTTAATTAGCATCAGAATTGAGTAAAATTGTAAGACACTCAGCTGCTGTCTGTGGAGAACTGGAGAATTGGTTGGTGGAAAACCCATATATTTGATGTCAGAAATGTGAGTAGAGAAATGGTTTTTCCTTGATAGGCTCTATGTAAATTTTAGTTCATGTTTTTGGTAATAAATACACAATATTACTGATTCTTAAAAGTATAAACCCAGGAAAATTAAGAAAACAAGAATGTCAAGTCCAACAGAGTTTAAAGGTAAAAAAAAATAAAATAGAACAGAAATGGGACCAGTAGCACATAGAATATTTTAACACATTCTTGGAAAGTAGAAACTATATGGACTAGTAGTCAGGAAGGAAGCAGCTCAAGGAAACCGCTTCCTGAATATGGAGTCTCCTATGAGAGACTATCTGCCCTATGGAGAAGCTTGGAGTAACTGCGGACACAGGATGCCAGATAGGAAGGAGGGCTGGAGTGACATGAAGGGCTGAAAATTGAGGGACTAATTGGAAGCCCGTGCACGGGACAGTCAGCTCTCTCTACCCCATGATCAGAATATTTGACACACAAGTGTTTACCCTGGGGCAAAAAATTACAGGAGTCTTCCCTGCTTCCCCCAAAATTGAACACATTGCTTTCTCTTAGCTGACCTAGAGAACCAGTGTGGGCACTGGCACCCCAAAACTAAGAATCCTTTTAAGAAATGGTGATTTTATGTCCAAGGAACGTTCCAAGTAAGTTTTCGGCTGCTAGCTTTGTCTTTACAAGTAACGGGCCAGGCCCAGTGGCTCATGACTGTAATCCCAGCATTTTGGGGGACTGAGGTGGGCAAATGGCTTGAGGTCAAGAGTTCAAGACCAGCTTGGGCAACATGGCGAAACCCTGTCTCTACTAGAAATACAAAAATTAGCCAGGTGTGGTGGTGCATGCCTGTAGTCCCAGCTATTGTGGGGCTGAGATGAGAGGATCACTTGAGCCTGGGAGGTAGAGGCTGCAGTGAACCGAGATTGTGCCACTGCACTCCAGTCTGGGTGACAAAGTGAGACCCCATCTCCAAAAACAAAACAAAACAAAAAAAACCCCAAGTAACTTGAAATCATTTTCTGAAATCTTTCTCTGACATTCTGACATTAGGGTAATTCTTGTTCTCCATAGAGTGAAAGGCTCAGGTTCAAGTCCCACTCCTGTGGCTCCTGATTTTTTAATGATTAGTTTGACCAATGTGTTTTTAAATGACTTAATTTTTAAACATGAGTTGAAAACCCAGGATCACTACACATTTGAGGAAAGTTGATAATATGAAAAGTAAACACCAAGGTAAGTGGTAAAAACCTTTGAGGAAACATAATTCAGGAAACAGGAACTTAAACATTAGTATCGTACAGCAGATTCAGGAAGATGGCACTGGTTAAAAAAATTGACACTATGAAAATAAGGCACAGAGAAAAGAAAGAGCTGTGGGAAATTATAATTGCTGAAATTTTAAACTAGATTGGAGAGCCGGAATATAAAGGAGAGGACAGCTGGGTGCGGTGGCTCACACCTGTCATCCCAGCATTTTGGGAGGCTGAGGCCGGCAGATCACTTGAGCCCGGGAGTTTGAGACCAGCCTGGGCAACAAGGTGAGACCCCCATCTCTACACAAAATAAAATATAAAATCAGCTGTGCATGGTAGCACACGTCTGTAGTCCCAAAACTTGGGAGGCTAGGTGGGAGGATCACTTGAGTCCAGGAGGTGGTGGCTGCAGTGAGCTGTGATTGTGCCATTGCACTCCAGCCTGGATGACAGAGCGAGACCCTTAGAAAGTAGGAAAAGAATATATGAAAAAAAAATAAGTGATCAATTAATTACTCACCTGAATAGTGGGAATACCAAAAGAGTAAAAAGAGAGTAACAGACAGTAGGAAGTTATCAAATAAATAATAGAAGGTAATTTCCCAGGCTTGATGGGAGACCCAAGAGCTCAGACTGAAAATGCCCATTGAATACCCAGCCCAATGAATGTAGAGAGGTCTACACTTAGGAGAAAAGATCCTAAAAGCTACCAGAAAGATAGAAACTGTTACTATAACAGAAATAAGACACTAGCACCTTAACTATTAACCAATCTTAACAAACTAGAATAAAGGCCGGATGTGGTGGTTCATGCCTATAATCCTAGCACTTTGGGAGGTCGAGATGGGAGGATCGCTTCAGCCTGGAAGCTTGAGGCTGCAGTGAGCTAGGATCGTGCCACTGTACTCCAGCCTGGGCGACAGAGTGAGACACTGTCTCAAAAACAACAGAAACAAAAAAACTAGAATAAAATACTTCTGGTGTGAGACTCTGTAGGTTTCATTACTCCTTTTGGGTCCTGATTAAATCCTGTTGACTCAAGACCTTAGAGCATTTACTGGTAAAGTCTCTGACTGCGCGATTTTTTTTTGCATTTTAGTTCCTTAAATATTTTCTCACTGCTTCCTACTAAAGGACGGACAGAGCATTTGTTCTTCAGCCACATACTTTCCTTCCACTGGCCAGCATTCTCCTCTATTAGACTAGAACTGTGGATAAACCTCAGGTAAGTAAATTACTATCCCTGGCAAAGGTGCTTTTCTTCCACACCTAAACCTATGGTCCCTTCTTTGTCTTGCTATTGTTTCTCTCTTTGGAGGCAGGATGGTATGGAGGAAAGAGGACAGACACTGGAGTCACACAGACTTGGGTTTAAATCCTAGCTCCATGGCACAGTTGCCTCAATGGCACTCTTAGCACTGTAGTCAAAGAATATTAGACCTGGAAAGGGCCTTGGAAATTACTTCTCCTCCCCCAGAAACAGCCTCTAGACTGGCATGATTGACCACCAAACTTCGTTGTGTCAGACAGGATCAATGTCTGCTGGTCTGCTGCAACTCTGTACTCATTTATCTCTGGGGAGGCCTGAAGCCTTGGTGCTGTTCCTTGGCCAAACCTAAATGAAATGTACTAGCCAGTGATTAATAGAGTCCTGTGCTGGGGTGGGAGACAGACCAGGGAGCAGCCTGTTTCTTGCTTCTTTCTTTCTTTTTGGAGATGAAATCTCATTGGCTTTGAACTTCTGGGCTCAAGTGATCCTCCCACTTCAGCCTCCCAAGTAGCTGGGATTACAGGTGCATGCCACTGCCCCAGCTTGACTATACCAGCTTGTTTCTGGTTTTGAGCCCTGGTATGCAAGCTAGTGTTGGCTACCTGATCAGAGGAGTATAAAAGAGCCTCAGATGAGGTTACAGTTCTCTTGAGACCAAGGTGTCTTGCATGTATCATCTAGCTGGTTCATTGCTTAAAGATGAAGCACATCTTCCACATCCTCTGTGGCTGCAAAAGGACCCTAGGAACTGGGTGTGGTGTTTCACTTGCCTTTTGGTTTGTTGGGTTTTTTTTTTTTGTATCTATCCTTTACCTTTATTAAAGCCTTATGTGAGGATACTATGCGGAGTCTTCTAAGTCTTTTCAATGATCCAAACCTGTGTAATTGATGAAGAGGGTACTGTGAATAGGATCATTACTTTTTTTTTGTTTTTGAGACAGGGTCTCTCTCACTCTGTCACCCAAGTTGAGTGCAGTATCTTGATCACAGCTCACTATAGCCTCAACCTCCTGGGCTCAAGAGATCCTCCCACCTCAGCCTCCCGAGTAGCTGGGTCTATAGGCGCACACCATCACGGCTGCCTAACTTTTAAAAAAATTATTTTGTAGAGCTGGAGTCTTACCATGTTGCCCAGGCTGGTCTCGAACTCCTGGGCTCAAGTGATTTGCCTGCCTTGGCCTCCCAAAGTGGTGGGATTACAGGTGTGAGCAACTGCGCCTGGCCCCAGGTTTTTTTTTTTCTTTTTTTTTTTCGAGACAGGGTCTCACACTGTTGCCCAGGCTGTAGTGCAGTGGCACTGAAGCCTGAAACCTCTGCCTCCTGGGTTCAAACAGTTCTTGTGCCTCAGCCACCCGAGTAGCTGGGATTACAGGCATGCACCACCACGCCCGGCTAATTTGTTTGTATTTTTAGTAGAGATGGGGTTTCGCCATGTTGGCCAGGCTGGTCTTGAACTCCTGAACTCAAGTGATCCGCCCGTCCCAGCCTCCCGAAGTTCTGGGATTACAGGTGTGAGCCACTGCGCCTGGCCCCCCAGTTTTTTACTTTATAATTTAAATGATAGCTAAGGCTTTGTTTGGGAGAAAGATGAAAAGTGGGGAAAGATTTAGAGCCACTGGTGCCAGGCTAGTTGCTGGGGAATCCCTGTTTGAATTTGCTGAAGTGCTACAACTCTCAATGGGAAGAAAGGGATGACAATGGAACTTGAAGGTGGTTGATGCAGAGCAAGAGGAAATCGCTAAATAGATTTAAAAAGAAATCCAGACACAGAGGAAGTCAGCCAAGAATACAGTTCCCTGGCTGGTTAGGCTGCTTTGGCAAAAATGAAAGTAACTAAAAAAGAGCCTGTGTTGCCAAGTCCACCAATTTCCTTCTGTAAAGGGAAGGAACATGATGCCAAAGAGGAGTTGGGCAGATATTTCTTCTGATGGGAATGTGACCCTCATCGGGTAGATAATCACCAACGAAACTACAGTGGGAGGGCATCAAGAGACAACTGAAACAGGGAACTACACAAGAGTGAAGTTGCCTGTGGACTGACAGAGCTTCCTGCAGAACCACTGCTGGGTTGGATATACATGAATGACAAAGGAGCTCTTTTCCTTGTATTAGGTACTGTCAAATGTACCTTCAAATGAAAGGGTGTGTTTGGTCTTAATTAGCTGAATTCGTTGAAGATCTTCAATTAGCTGCAGCTTTTGCCGGAATGTGGTTAGCTGGGCAAATTCCAAATCGGTTGAGCTGCACAAAGGTGGCAGTACATAAAACATATCTTGTAAAGGGGAACTGCCCAATTCCACCCATAATTGTTAGAAGAAATACTCCCTAGAGGTTACTGAAATGTTGAGAATGCAAACAAACACATTTGGACTGGTTCTGTGATGAAACTAAGGTATCCCTTAATTTTATGTCTTTGACTTAAGTGATGATTGTTGCTGTGATAAGAGGGCCTCTACCTTCGTAGACTTTTTGTATGACCCTACTACTGGGGGAGCAGGATGAAGTGAAAGCCTGTTGAAGACTTACTAGTTCCTTTGCTCCAAATTGTGCTGAATGATGAACAGATTAATATCATTCAAAAGAAAGGAGGCCGGGTGTCCTGGCTTACACCTGTAATCCCAGCACTTTGAGAGGCTGAGGCAAGAGGATTGCTTAAGCCCAGGAATCTGAGGCTACAGTGAGCTAGAATCATGCCACTGCACTTGTACTACAGCCTTGGCAACAGAGTGAGCCCTTGTCTCCTATTAAAAAAAAAAAAAAAAAGGAAAGGGCTGGGCATGGTGGCTCACACCTGTAATCCTAGCACATTGGGAGGCCGAGGCGGGTGGATCACCTGAGGTCAGGAGTTCGAGACCAGCCTGGCCAACATGGTGAAACCCTGTCTCTACTAAAAATAAAAAAATTAGCCGGGCATGGTGGCACATGCCTGTAATCCCAGCTACTCAGGAGGCTGAGGCAGGAGAATTGCTTGAACCTGGGAAGCAGAGGTTGCGGTGAGTCAAAATTGTGCCACTGCACTCCAGCCTGGGTGAACAGAGCAAGACTCCATCTCACTTTGTTGCCCAGACTGGTTTCAAATTCCTGGGCTCAAGCAATCCTCCCACCTTAGCCTCCCAAAGTGCTGGGATTACAGGTGTGAGCCACTGTGCCCAGTCAAGATTCTAATGTATCCTAGTCTTGATGAATTAAACAAATAAACCTTTAGGATGATGCAAAAGCAGAATCTACAGTCACTTTAAAGCAGTGTGATGTAAAGAAAAGGGTGGCAGAGTCTCTTGGTGCTATGGGACCCAAGGACATTTACATTGGTGTGGATAAAATGCCCGGAGTGGTGAAAAACTTTATTGTCATTGTTGGACCATGGTGCATAATGTATTGTTATACCTGCTAATAAAAAATTAAACGGCAATTAACTTAGTTTAGTATGACAATACAACTGTAAGTTTAAGAGTGAAAAATGGGCCAGGTGTGGTGGCTCAGGCCTGTAATCCCAGCACTTTAGGAGGCTGAGGTGGGAGGATCACTTGAGCCCAGGGGTTTGAGACCAACTTGGCAACATAGTGAGACCCCCCCCACCAACACCCCCAACACGCTTGTCTCTATAAAAAATGGTGGTGTGCTCCTGTCGTACGAGCTGCTTGGGAAGCTGAGGTGGGAGGATCGCTTCAGCCCTTGAGGTTGAGGCTGCAATGGATGGTGATCAAGCCACTGCACTCCAGCCTAGGTGACAGAGCAAGACCCTGTCTCAAGAAAAAAAAAAAGTGAAAAATGTCCATATAAAAACTTGCACACTAATGTGCACAGCGGTATTATTTATAATAGCCAAAAAGCGTAAGCAATCCACACATCCATCAACTGGGTTGAGGAATAAAATATGGTATATGTGATAATAAAGTGTGGTATATCCACATAATGAAATATTATTTGACAATGAAAAGGAATATGAAGTACTAAAACAATACAACATGGATGAATTTCGCTTCCTTTTTTTGTTGTTCTTTTTATTTTATTTTTTAAGCACCTCTACCAACATGAACATTTTGCAAAGTGAAAGCAACCAGACACAAAGGACCACGTACTGTATGATTCAATTTAAATGAAATGTCCCCAGTAGGCAAATCTATAGAGACAGAAAGTAACATAGTAGTTGCCTAGGGCTAGGAGGGTAATGGGGGACATGGAAAGCAACTGCTAATGGGCACAGCGTTTCTTTCTGGGGGGATGAAAATGTTCTAAAATTGATTGTGGTGGTGGTTGTGCATGTTTATGAATATGCTGATATTTATTGAACTGTACATTTTATTTACTTTTTTTAGAGACAGAGCCTCACTCTGTTGTCCAGGCTGGAGTACAGTACTGCAATCATAGCTCCCCGCAGCTTCATATTCCTGGGCTCAAGAGATCCTTCCACCTCAGCCTCCCACGTAGTTAGGACTACAGGCACATGCCACCATGCCCTGCTAAGTTTTCGTTTTCTTTAAAAAAAAGTTTTTTAGAGACAGGGTCTAGCTATGTTGCCCAGGCTGATCTCAACTCCTGGTCTCAAGCAATCCTCCCGCCTTGGCCTCAAGAGCATTGGGGTTATAGGTATGAGTCACCGCACCCTCAGTTGTTCATTTTAAATGGGTGAATTTTATGATGTGTGAATTATATTTCTTTCTCTTTTTTTGAGATGGAGTTTCACTCTTGTCGCCTAGGCTGGAGTACAGTGGTGCGATCTCGGCTCACTGCAACCTCTGCCTCGTGGGTTCAAGCAATTCTCCTGCCTCAGCCTCCCGAGTAGCTGAGATTATAGGCATGCGCCACCATGCCCAGCTATTTTTTTTGTATTATTAGTAGAGATGGGGTTTCACCATGTTGGCAAGGCTAGTCTTGAACTCCTGGCCTCAGCCCCCCAAAGTGCTGGGATTATAGGTGTAAGCCACCACAGCCAGCCCCAACTAGCTGGGACTACAAGCACGTGCCACCACACCTGACTAATTTCTTTTTTTTTTTTTTTTTTTTTGTATTTTTAGTAGAGATGGGGTTTTGCCATGTTGGCCAGGCTGGTCTCAAACTCCTGACCTCAGGTGATCCACCCACCTCGGCCTCCTAAAGTGCTGAGATTACAGGCATGAGCCACTGCTCCCGATGGATTATATTTCAATATAATTCAATTATGCAATATAATTGCATAATTGTTATCATCTCTCCCTGATATATTATCGGAATGGATGTGACATCTGAATGGGGATGCTGTTGAGGAAAGAGATTTCATGAAATGTACAGTGAGTGGCATAATTGTGGCTCACTGTAACCTTGAATTCTTGGGCTCAAGTGATCCTTCTGCCTCTGCTCCCCGAGTAGCTGGGACTACAGGCATGTGCCACCACATCTGGCTAATTTTTGTAATTTTAGTAGAGATGCGGTTTCATCATGTTGCCCAGGCTGGTCTGAAATTCCTGGCCTCAAGTGATCCACCTTGGATTCCCAAAGTGCTAGGATTACAAGCATGAGCCACCTGTGCCTGACCAAGATTTGTTGTTTTCTTTCTTTTTTTTTTTTTTTTTTTTGAGAGTGAGTTTTGCTCTGTTGCCCAGACTGGAGCCCAGACTGGAGTTTAGTGGTGCAATCTCAGCTCACTGCAACCTCCACCTCTCAGACTCAAGCAATCCTCCCACCTCAGCGTCCTGAGTAGCTGGGACCACAGGTGCCTACCACCATGCCCAGCTAATTTTCATATCTTTTATAGCGACAAGGTTTCACTTTGTTGCCCAGGCTGGTCTGGAACTCCTGGTTATACAAACTCCTGGACTCAAGTGATCCTCCCACCTCAGCCTCCCAAAGTGCTGGGATTACAGGCATAAGCCACTGTGCTCAGCCCCTTAAGATTTTTAATTCGTAGATTTCCTCTTTATCCATCTCTTTTTTCTTGTCACTTATTTGTTAAAGAAGCCATGTAATCTGTCCTGTAAAATTCCCTCTACTCTAGATTTGGCAGAATGTGTTCCTCTGGCATAGTCTAACATGTTCCTCTACCTTCTGCATTTCCAGGAACCTGACACTTGGATCTAGCAGTTTGGTCAGGCTCAGATTCTATTTTCTTTCTTTCTTTTTTTTTTTGTGACAGTCTCACTCTGTTGCCCAGGCTTGAGTGCAGCGGTGCAATCTTGGCTCACTGCAACCTCTGCCTCCTGGGTTCAAGCGATTCTCCTGCCTCACCCCACCCAGGTCTGGGATTATAGGTGCGCACTGCCACACCTGACTAGTTTTTGTATTTTTAGTAGAGACGGGGTTTCTCCATATTTGCGAGGCTGGTCTCGAACTCCTGACTTCAGGCAGTCCACCTGCCTCGGCCTCCCAAAGTGCTGGGATTATAGGCATGAGCCACCGTGCCCAGCCTCAGATTCTATTTTCTTTAACAAATATTTGTCACACACCTACTACATGCAAAGTTGTTGGTTGGATACTAAATTAACTACAAAACTGGACACAGTTATTTACATTTATAAGTCATCTTGCACATGGACAGCCATGCCCACAAAAGTGAATGGAGGCCCGGCATGGTGGCTCATGCCTGTAATCCCAGCACTTTGGGAGGCTAAGGTAGGCGGATCATTTGATGTCAGTAGTTCAAGACCAGCCTGGCTAACATGGTAAAACCCTGTCTCTATTAAAAATACAAAAATTGGCCAGGCGTGGTGGCAGGCGCCTGTAATCCCAGCTACTTGGGAGGCTGAGGCAGGAGAATTGCTTGAGCCCGGGAGGCAGAGGTTGCAGTGAGCTGAGATCGCACCACTGCACTCCAGCCTGGTCAACACAGCGAGACTCCATCTCAAAAAAAAAAAAAAAAAAAAGGCTGGGCACAGTGGCTCACACCTGTGATCCCAGCACTTTGGGAGGCCAAGGCGGGCAAATCACTTGAGGCCAGGAGTTCATTCAAGTGATGAACTCTCCTCTCCCCTCTTCCCTCTCTCCTCTCTCCTCTCCTATCTCCCCTCTTCCCTGGCCAACATGGTGAAACCCCATCTCTACTAAAAATACAAAAATGAGCCGAGCGTGGTGGTGCGTGCCTATGGTTCCAGCTACTCGGGAGGCTGAGGCAAGAAATTGCTTGAACCTGGGAGGCGGAGGTTGCAGTGAGCCAAGATCACTCCACTGCACAGCAGCCTGGGCAACAGAGTGAGACTCCATCTCAAAAGAAAAAAAAAGTGAATGGATATCTTTGGTATGTTTTGATACGTTGTGTGGGAAAGCAATATGCACAATAAGTGCAGTGTGAGACTTTGAAAATGTTTAAAACCACTCAAACTATATATGGAGTTGCTTGAAAATATATAGAAAACCTTATGAAAATATGTAAACCAAACTGTAGATACTTCTGGATCTGGATTTGTCAGGGGGTGAAGTAGTGATGGATTTTCACATTTATTTTGTTCATTGCTGTCTTGTTTAAATTTTTGGAAACAAGTATATATTACTTTCATAGTTGAAAAGAAAGTGAGGAGATTAGGAGGGAGGAAGTAAACAAGGGAGGAGAGGAGAAAGGCAGGAAGAGGAGAGAGAGAAAGTTAGACAAGTAGATGAGATGGTTATAGGGACGAATGAAGCTAGAATTGAGAAATCATTTGACAGTCACTCTGGCTCCCTGACGAATCAAAACAGCCACCCAGGCAGTCCTTGTCCATGCTGACAGTGCACCATATATGCATATGTAACAGGGAACAGCAGCCCCGGCTGGAGCACAAGCCGCTGCTCGTGGGCACCTGTCTCAGCTCTAGCCTCAGCTCAGGCTTCACTTAGCCTCAGGGTCACTGTGTTTAGTGTCGCTGGGTTATACACTGGACAAGTACCAGTGGCACCACTCACACATGATCACATTATCATGTGACTAGCACCTACTAGAGCCGCACATCCTGTCTGCAGGGGCCTTCATATGCCTTCTCTAACATAGTCAGAGGGTAAGGTAATAAGCACAGGGAGGGGAGACAGCAGTCCAGCAACCACTCCTAGAGAGGAAGGAGTTCAGGCCAGCAAACAAGGGCAGGGGGTAGTGCAGAGGCTTAGGAGATAGAGCCAGGCTTGAATCTGCTGCTACCTGACTACCAGACCCTAGGCAGGTGACTGACCTTGTCTGAATCTCATATGTAAAATGCAGTGTCAACAACAACAAAAAAATTAGAGACAGATATCCCCAAATATGTCAAATTTATTCAGGAATAAGAAAAGAGGGTTATGATTTGGAATGCACTACTGTAAACCACAGGCACGTGCAGTGAGGGAAGAGTAAAGGGAATTTTTCTTGGCAAAAGGGAGAAGTTCACATAAGCTGCTTAGAAACAGAGTTCATAGCTGGGCATGGTAGCTCATACGTGTAATCACAGCTATGTGGGAGGCTGAGGCGGGAGGGTCTTTGGAGGCCAGGAGTTTGAGACCAGCCTGGGCAATGTGATGAGGCTCCAGTTTCTTTAGAGAGAGAGGAGAGAGGGGAGAGGGGAGAGGAGAGAGAAGACAGGGGACGGGGGAGAGGGGAGAGGAGAGAGGGCAGAAGAGAATTCCTTGGTTCTGAAGGCTCAAAGCCAGAGTTCTTGTGTGTTCATTGGTGGAGATGCTGTTCCTGGGCAGGTGTTCTTTTGACAGCATCTCATCTCATGTTATCTTATCTGAATTGCTGCAGTCCAAAAGAATGTGCAGTGATAAACCTTGCCATAGAAATATGTGCGTACATGCAAGCAATGCAAAGCAGGAGATGCGTGACAGGCGTGAAGGGATTTCTTATGGGATTCTTAGAAAGTCTTTGGAACCGTTCCTGTCTTGGACATGAAAGCCTGAACCCCACTCCTTCGTGCCTTCCCAGCCCTATTTTGTGTGGGTCTGATAAAAGTGATTTCATCTTGGTATCTGCGACTTCCACAGCAGATAATAATGTACAGCTTGTCTGGTGGTTGTAAGGATGAGAAACAAAGTATATGGATCAAATGCTTTGTAAAAATTACCATGTATAATGTGAGGATGACAGATGACCAACTGTTTTGCCTTTCATTTGTTTGTCGTCATAAGCACATGGTCAGTCAATAAAATCTAAGAGCTGGAATTAGAGCAAGAATCCCCAAGTTTCTTGTTGGGTTACTCTGTCTTTAGCTTTCTGGACTTCAATTTGTTGCTTCTTTTTATCAACTGTCAACAAAATGAGTATACCCTTACACTTTTTAAAATGTGGCACTCCATAAATGTAAGATGATTTTATGGTAACTTTTTAAGGTACTGAGTTCCTCCTCAATCCATATAAATCATGAGGACAGGGAACCACCCCGTGCATTGTGTGCCATGTAGGTTATGTGCAGACTTACGGCAATCCTTGGAAACATTTATACACCTGAAAACTGGGGACCCTGGCTGCCTATCACATAGAATCATGGCCCTGGGGAAATATGCAGATCATCTGATGGCATCCATGTTCTCCTGTGATTATAAGAGAACATGGCAAGGTTGGTCACATCCCCACTGGTGGAAGAGCGGGTACTAATGCTCCAGCCTTTGGGTTCCCAGCCCATTCTTTGCTACAGCACCATAGAAAGAAAACTTAAATTTGAATTGGAGGGATTTTTATTTTTATTTTTATTTTTTTTGAGACAGAGTCTCTCTCTGTTGCCCAGGCTGGAGTGTAGTGGTACAATCATGACTCACTGCAAACTCTGCTTCCCAGGTTCAAGTGATCCTCCCGCCTCAGCCTCCCAAGCAGCTGGGATTACAGGCGCCCGCCACCATGCCTGGCTAATTTTTGTATTTTCAGTAGAGATGGGGTTTCACCATGTTGACCAGGCTGGTCTCAAACTCCAGGCCTCAAGTGATCCACCCGCCTCAGCCTCCAAAAGTGCTGGGATTACAGGCATGATCCCCCATGCCCAGCTGAATTGGAGGAAATTTTAAAAGTTAATTTTAAAACTGCTTCTCTTTTATGGGAAAGGAATATGTTTTTAAATGGTATTCAGTGTGCTCTTTTTTAAAAAAATCAAAAATTATCCATTAACATCCGTTACTTTTTTTGTTTTTGGTTTTTTCTGAGATTGAGTCTTGCTCTGTTGCCCAGGCTAGAGTGCAGTGGCATGATTTCAGCTCACTGCAACCTCCACCTCCCAGGTTCAAGCGATTCTCCTGCCTCAGCCTCCCAAGTAGCTGGGATTACAGGCGCCCGCCACCACACCCAGCTAATTTTTGTACTTTTAGTAGAGACAGGGTTTCACCATCTTGGCCAGGCTGGTCTCGAACTCCTGACCTCGTGATCCACCTGTCTCGGCCTCCCAAAGTGCTGGGATTCCAGGCGTGAGCCATCACGCCTGGCCTAATAGCCATTACTTTTTAATGCATGGTAATTTTTTGTTCAGTAGATAAATATATTGTTATCTTAAAAAGATTTTTTGTATTTACTTTTGAGACTGGGTCTCAGTCTGTTGCCCAGGCTGGAGTGTAGCAGCCTGATCATGGCTCAGTGCAGCCTCTACCTCCCCGGGCTCAGGTGATCCTCCCCCTTCAGCCTCCTGAGTAGCTGGGACTACAGAGGTGTGGCACCATGCCCGGCTAATTTTTGTATTTTTTGTGGAGATGGGGTTTTGCCATGTTGCCCAGGCTAGTCTTGAACTCCTGGATGTGAGCCACTGCGTCTGGCCTATTATTTTAAATATAGTTCTCTTTACTGCCAGTAGCTTTCATATAACCCTAGCGACTAGATTTAGTCACCACTGCTTAATTCCAAAAAACAAAAGCTCCATCCTATATTTACTGTAAATCAGTCTCTTTGATTGTATTGCATGTTTTATTTCAAGAAAAAAGTTAACCTGAAGATTTAATTTTAAATAACTACACATGTTGTCACTAATAGAAATAACAAATAATTATATGAGAATAATGGTAATTCTCCTAAGTTTTGTGGTAATTTTTTTGGCAATTTTATTGAAGTATAATAAAATTCAACAATTCAATACGTCTTTATAAATGTTCATTGTGATATAGGACAGCTCTATCACAGTACTGGGGTAAATTTTAATTATATTTATTAATTACAGATGTGAATTTCTTCGGAGTAAGAAATCCTCAGAGGAAATTACCCAGTATATTCAAAGCTACAAGGGATTTGTTGACATAACGGTAATGTATAACAGCAATTTTTTTCTCAAGTTTTTGGATTACCTGTAAGTGTCTGACTCAGAAGGGCATAGGCATTCTTTTTATGTCATGGGTTTGATTTCTTTCTTCCTTTCTCCTTTCATTCCCCTGGCTCCCATCTTCAAAGTGAAAAATATCACATTCACTTGCTGACCTAGAGCCTTTTTCTTTTTCCAGGGCTGGCTTCTGACGGGCTCTGCTTGCCTTCCTGATAGTCTTCCCCTTTATGAATGAAGCCACTTGCCCCAGCTTCCCTCTGCTGCCCCTATCTGCAGGCTTGCTAAGATCTCCTGACCTAGGCGCTGTCACCCACAGTGGGCTGCAGAGCTGGCTCTTCCTAGCTGGCTAACTATCCTGAATCAGTAAAAATTTCCTAGTGGAGAGTGATGGGAAATCGAATCCAAACTGGCTTAAACAAAAATGAGAATTTATTGATTAACATGACTCAGGAGACCAGAACTCTATAGAGAACATGGCCTGACAGTGGGGGAAGAGAGGTGTTTCCTCAAAAAGAAACTGGGTGCAGCTTTCCCAGAAGAATCAGTTGCTCAATATATAATACCCTGATGAATTTAGTTACCATTCTATGTCTCTTACTTCCTCATTCGTCAAAGTACATCTGTGATATTTAAATGCAGGTCTGTTTTCAAGGTCAGTTTCCGGAAACAGTGACCCTGAGAAGGCTTCCTCCTGAGTATGCATAAACATTCACAGCTTGCATGCGTGTGTGTGTGTGTGTGTGTGTGTGTGTGTGTGTGTTTGCTTGCACTGCATAAAAACAATTGCAACATCAACAGAAATAAAAATTAAAGGAATAATTCTCCTCCGACTCTGCCGTTCCATCCAGTGAAACTCTTCATTCTGGGGTAAAGTTCCTTCAGTTCTTGTTCATAGATAGGTATATACTTCATAAGTCAAACAATCAGGCTGGGCGCAGTAGCTCATGCCTGTAATCCCAGCCCTTTGGGAGGCCGAGCTGGGCAGATCACTTGAGATCAGGTGTTCGAGACCAGCCTCAAGACCTCCAACATGGGCCGGGTGCAGTGGCTCACGTCTGTAATCCCAGCACTTTGGGAGGCCGAGACGGACGGATGATGAGGTCAGGAGATAGAGACCATCCTGGCTAACATGGTGAAACCCCATCTCTACTAAAAATACAAAAAAAAAAAAAATTAGCCCGGCATGGTGGCAGGCGCCTGTGGTCCCAGCTACTCGGGAGGCTGAGGCAGGAGAATGGCGTGAACCTGGGAGGCGGAGCTTGTAGTGAGCCAAGGTCGTGCCACTGTGCTCCAGCCTGGACGACAGAGCGAGACTCTGTCTCAAAAAAAAAAAAAAAAAAAAAAAAAAAAGACCTCCAACATCGTGTCTGTCTCTACTAAAAATACAAAAAAAAAAAAAAAATTAGCCGGGTGTGGTGGCACATGCCTGTACTGCTCGGGAGGCTGAGGCAGGAGAATCACTTGAACCCAGGAGGCGGAGGTTGCAGTGAGACGAGAACCTGCCACTGCACTTCAGCCTGGGCAACAGAGTGAGACTCTGCCTCAAAAAAAAAAAAAAAAAAAAAAGTCAGATAATCAACAACTTGAATTTTAATTTCCCTCAGGGAGAACATTTTGTGAATTCCTGGGTCCAGAGAGAATTACCTATGGCATCAGGTAAAAACTCAAACATTTTCCAAAGGCTTTGCTTGTTTATTTCTTCTTTTGATTTTTTGTCCCTATCTCTTTTTGTCGTCCCCCCCGCCCCGCCCCGTTTATTTTGAAGCAAACTCTAGACATCATTCCATCTGTAACTGTGAAGGGACAACTTGAACGCTGATACTTGCAATATCAAAGCCTACTGGTCTCTTTAATTTGTGCAGCAGCAATAAAGATATAGAAAAAAAAAAGACTAAAGCCTGCTGGTCTCACCTTGTGCTTTTTATTCAAGCTTATTGCAATGACAGCATCTTTGCTTACGAAGAACTACGGCTGGACTCTTTTAAGGACTGGCCCCGGGAATCAGCTGTGGGAGTTGCAGCACTGGCCAAAGCAGGTCTTTTCTACACAGGTGAGTCAGTAGGTTGTGCCCACTTGCTTGCTTGACCTTTAATTCCCACATAGACTTTATGCTCCTGGGCTTACGTTTAGCTACACTCAGCAATGTCCACTAGCTTCAGCGTTTCTTTTTCTTTTCTTTTTTTTTCCCCCTTGGAGACAGAGTTGCCCAGGCTGGAATGCAGATCTTGGCTCACTGCAACCTCCACCTCCCGGGTTCAAGAGATTCTCCTTCCTCAGCCTCTGGAGTAGCTGGAACCACAGGCGCCTGCCACCACGCCCAGCTACTTTTTTGTATTTTTAGTAGAGACAGGGTTTCACCATGCTAGTCAGAATGCTCTTGATCTCCTGATCTCGTGATCTGCCCGCCTTGGCCTCCCAAATGCTGGGATTACAGGTGTGAGCCATCGCGCCAGGCCTCTCTTCAGCATTTCTTATAGATTCGTTTTCTTTTCTTTCTATTTTTTTTGAGACATGGTCATCCAGGCTGGAGGGCAGTGGCGAGATCATGGCTCACTGCAGCCTCAACCTCCTGGGCTCAAGTAATCCTCCTGCCTTGGCCTCCCAAAATGCTGGGATTACAGGTGTGAGCCACTGCACCTGGCATACATCTCTTTTCTTTCCTGCATCATAAATCCTCTCCCAGTTTTCTATTCCTCCCTTAGGTGGTAAACCTTCAAATTTGAAACCTTAAGGTCTGGACTAACAATGAATACAAGTATTCTATTTGTGATAATTATCATGTCTTTTCTTTCTACACATTACTCTCCTCACCTCTTGTCCCCTGACAAAGTGCTCCTAGAAACTGTCACAGGACACTTCTGCTTATATTTCTTTAATCAGAACTTAGTTGGATGGGCCGGGCATGGTGGCTCACGCCTGTAATCCCAGCACTTTGGGAGGCCGAGGTGGGTGGATCACCTGAGGTCAGGAGTTTGAGACCAGCCTGGCCAATATGGTGAAACTCTGTCTCTACTAAAAATACAAAGAATTAGCCAGGCATGGTGGCGGGTGCCTGTAATCCCAGCTACTTGGGAGGCTGAGGCAGGAGAATCGCTTGAACCTGGGACGTGGAGGTTGCGGGGAGTCAAGATCATGCTATTGCACTCCAGCCTGGGCAACAAGAGTGAAACTCTGTCTCAAAAATAATAATAATAATAATAATAATAATAATAATAATTATTATTATTATTATTATTATTATTAGTCAGATGACCATACCTAGCTGTAAGAGGAGCTGGGAAACCTAATCTTTTTCCTGGGTGACAATGTGCCCAGCTAAATATTGGGATTTCTATTAGTATGGAAGGATTTGAGATAATAGGAACATGGATAGCAATCTTTGCCACATTCTGCCTGCAGGAGAAAATCAGGAAATTAATTTTCATGATTCCTAAACACGTAGAGCCTTCCACCAGATTGTGGCATTTTCTCTTTAGCTGCTGGTCATTAGGAAGCACCTCTGCAATCTATAAATGATGGGCTGGTTCCTGTCAGCTAAATCTCTGCCTGAAATACAAGATGATCAGGGAAAGGTTCCTAGGTACCTTGCTGGTCTTGCTCAAACCGAACACATGCATAAGTTACAGTGGAGGTTAATGCAGATCTTTAACTGAGAGATCAAGTAGTTGTCACAAATACCATAGAGCAACACAGAGAAGCAGAATATAGTTGTCACTCTACCTAACAGACATGTGCCATTGGAAAAAAAAAATCTGACTGCCTCACAATCTTAAGCCTTTGGAAAGAGTGTTTGCCATTTCTCCCTACTCTACTGTGTCTTCCTCTTGTCAGCCTTCCGCAAGACCCCTCTGACCAGTGTGCTCCCCCTCTTCCTTTCCAATCCTCCACCACTCCACACAAATCCTAATCATCTCTGACTGTTTTCAGATCTTGCAAGCTCTAGGATCTCATATTTCTGGGAGGCTTTCCTCTGCCCCAGCTTTCCCAGAGTGGAAGGAAGATGAGAAATGCTCTGTTTCTAGTTTGATCCTTTTGCAGAGCTAAATACCAATTTCTTTCCAAAGAAATATAATTTCACAAAGAGACTTAATCCTATTTCTGGTGTAATAAACATGGCAATAATGTGGTAAGAGGCAATTAATTCTTCATGCATTCACTTACATAAGGGCTGCTAGATTTGCTGGTATTTTTTTTTCCGTGAGCTCTAAATATATTCTTTCTGATTCATTCATTAAACGAATACTAATTGAGTGCCACATGAGTGTCAAGCACTTTTCTAGGTTCATGTCATTCATTAGTGAGCAAAAACCTCTACCCTCATAGAGCTTATTTTTATTTTTATTTTTTGAGACAGAGTTTCACTCTTGTTGCCCAGGCTGGAGTGCAATGGCGTTATCTTGGTTCACTGCAACCTCCGTCTCCTGGGTTCAAGCGATTCTTGTGCCTCAGCCTCCTGAGTAGCTGGCATTACAGGCATGTGCCACCATGCCCAGCTAATTTTTGTATTTTTAGTAGAGACAGGGTTTCACCGTGTTGGCCAGGCTGGTCTCAGACTCCTGACCTCAGGAGATCCGCTGGCCTTGGCCTCCCAAAGTGCTGGGATTACAGGCATGAGCCACTGCGCCCAGCCCCCTCATGGAGCTTCAATTCCAGATTCTGGTTGCCAATCTGTTTGTTGATCAAAGGAGAATGGGGCAGAGGGATGGTGTGCATCAAAGTGCATGGTGTGTAGGAGCATTCAATGACTACTTGCCAGTTACCCCATTGGTGGACAGAGTCTTATATAGAAAATTGCCTCACTGGTAACCAACTTCTGACTGTCACAAAACCCAACTGGAGACTGAATAGGCTTTCACTATTACAGGTCTGGTGGTTATTATCTGCATGTTAATGGACAGATGCCCATGCCAGTGGCACTGATCAAGTTTCCTTACTTTTAGGTATAAAGGACATCGTCCAGTGCTTTTCCTGTGGAGGGTGTTTAGAGAAATGGCAGGAAGGTGATGACCCATTAGACGATCACACCAGATGTTTTCCCAAGTGAGTGGAATGAATGTTAACCATCTGCAACTTTGGATGCACTTCAACAGTTTTTTTCTTTTTCCTCATTTCCTGCCTTATTTTATCTTTAGATTGAGTCTTTATCCACTCCTCGGATTCAGGCTATGAAGGATGAGTCTTCATGTCTTTCATCCCTTTGCTCCATGACCCCCTTCCTGTACTAGCCTTCCCCTCTTTATAGTTATGGCATAGTTTTGGCTAGATTCATATATTCACATTACATGTTTACATTATCATGACTATACAAATGCTATGTGGAGCTGAAGCTTGTGGTAAATTTTTATTTATTTTTCCCTTCCTGTATATCCTTTTATTTTTTTAGGAAGTAATAACTGTCCTGTTGGTATGTTAGCTTATTTTTTTTTCCTGAGGTAAAATTCAGGTAGTAACCATTTTATTTATTTATTTATTATTTTTTGTGACAGGTTCTCTCTCTTGCCCAGGTTGGAGTGCAGTGGTGCAATCATGGCTCACTGCAGCCTTGACCTCTCTGGCTCAAGCAATCTTCCTCGCTCAGCCTCCCAAGTAGCTGGGACTACAGGCACATGTCTTCACACCCAGCTAATTTTTTTTTTTTTTTTTTAAGAGACAGGGTCTCTCTATGTTGCCCAGGCTGCTCTCAGACTTCTAGGCTCAAGCAGTCTTCCCATCCTGGCTTCCCAAAGTGCTGGGATTATAGGCGTGAGCCACCATGCACAGCAATTAAACCATTTTAGAGTACACAATTCTGTGGCATTTATTATAGTACATTCACAATGTTGTGCAACCACCCCCTCTATCTAGTTCCAAAACACTTTCATCGCCCCCAAAGAAAACTCTGTATCCATCAAGCAGGCCCCCCTCCTCTCTCCACCCCACTCCATGCCCAGCCCCTGGGATACACCAACCTAATTGGTGTCTATGGATTTATTTGTTCTGACTATTTCCTCTAAATGGAAGCATACCGTTTGACCTTTTGCATTTGGATTCTTTCACTTGGCATATTGTTTTGAAGTTTATCCATGTTGTAGCTTGCATAAGTACTTCCTTCCTTTTGAGACCAAGTAATATTCCATATGGATACACTGCATTTTATTTATCCATTCATCTATTTGTAGATATTTGGGTTGTTTCTACCTTTTGGCTACCATGAGTAATACCGATAGGAACATTTGGGTACAGGTATCTGATGGAGCATGTAACTGTATTCAAGTCTCTGGGGCATATACCTAACAACGATATTGCTAGCTGTATAGTAATTCTATGTTTTTACTTTTTTTTTTTTTTTCTCACACAGAGTCTCACTCTGTCACTCAGGCTGGAGTGCAGCGGTGCAATCTCAGCTCACTGCAACCTCCGCCTCCCAGGTTCAAGCAATTTTCCTGCCTCAGTCTCCTGAGTAGCTGGGATTACAGGTGTCTGCCACCATGCCCGCCTAATTTTTTGTATTTTTAGGGTTTCACCATGTTGGCTAGGCTGGTCTCAAACTCCTGACCTCAAGTGATCCACCTGGCTTGGCCTCCCAAAGTGCTGGAATTACAAGCGTGAGCCACAGCGCCTGGCCTGTTTTAACTTTTTGAGGAAATGCTAAACTGTTTTTTCCACAGTGCTTGCACCATTTTAAATTCCCACCAACAACAATGTTGTGCAACCACCCCCTCTATCTAGTTCCAAAACACTTTCATCGCCCCCAAAGAAAACTCTGTATCCACTAAGCAGGCCCTCCTTCTCTCTCCACCCCACTCCATGCCCAGCCCCTGGGATACACCAACCTAATTGGTGTCTATGGATTTATTTGTTCTGACTATTTCCTCTAAATGGAAGCATACAGTTTGACCAACAATGTATGAGGTTTCCCATTTCTCATCAACACTTTTCTATTTTTAAAAAAATTATAGCCATCTGCTTAATTTTTTTTTTTTTTTTTTTTTGAGATGGAGTCTCACTTTGTCGCCCAGGCTGGAGTGTAATGGCGTGATCTCACTCACTGCAACCTCCGCCTCCTGGATTCATGCCATTCTCCTGCCTCAGCCTCCCGAGTAGCTGGGACTACAGGCACCTGCCATCACGCCCGGCTAATTTATTTTTTATTTATTTTTTTAGTAGAGACGGGGTTTCACCGTGTTAGCCAGGATGGTCTCCATCTCCTGACCTCGTGATCCACCCGCCTCAGCCTCCCAAAGTGCTCTGATTACAGGCGTGAGCCACCGCGCCCGGCCAGCCATCTGCTTAATTTTTATGTACATTGCTTATTTTTGTTTCTTGAGATAAAATTCATGTATTAATAATTTTATTTATTTAAATGAAATAAATGAAGACGAACACCAGCTCATCTTCAACTTATCCCAAATGTTTAAATCTCCTCTTAAGTCATTCAGACCTACCAGATATCTCATCATTTTCATTTCTTGAAAGAGTCATCATTTTTTTTTTCTTTTTCTTTTTTTTTTGAGACGGAGTCTGGCTCTGTCACCCAGGCTGGAGTGCAGTGGCATGATCTCGGCTCACTGCAGACTCTGCCTCCCAGGTTCAAGCAATTCTTCCTGCCTCAGCATCCCAAGTAGCTGGGACTACAGGCATGCACCACTATGCCTGGCTAATTTTTGTATTTTTAATAGAGATGGAGTTTTGCCACGTTGGCCAGGCTAGTTTCAAACTCCTGACCTCAAGTGATCCGCCTGCCTCAGCCTCCCAAAGTGCTGGTATTACAGGCGTGAGCCACTGCGGCTGGTCCATTTTCATCTTGGAGGAGTCATCCATCATTTTCACCTCCTTGAATGAGTTTCCCTGGAAGTCTTCTGGCCTGCTGGATTATGAACAACTTGTCCTATAATCATCCTGGGATCCAGGGATCTTTCTTCACAGGCATCCTGGAGATTATCTCCTCTGTTGTATCTCCTGGATCTAATGTCATCCTCTTCTTGGTTCACTCGCTCATTTTGTTGGAACACTTCATCGGAGTTCCCTGGGAAAGACTGCATAAGAAATACACACTTTTAGTTGCATATAATGCATATACAGACATATAGATCTATCTAGATATATGTTTTTCCTGTATTCTCACACTTATTTGATAGTTTAGCTAGGTGTAGAATTATAGGTTGGAAGTCATTTTAATTCTAAATTGTAGAGGCACTGCTACATTTCTACTGGTTCCTAATGTGCTGTCGAGAAGTTCCATGCCTTTCTGCTTGTCAATCCTTTTACTGCAAACAAAATTTTTTTTTTTCCTGTGCTGGAAGCTTTCAGAAAAATATCTGTTCTAAAATTTTACGAAGAAATATTTCTTTTCTATGAATCTTTAAACTTAATTTTTTTTACCCATCAAACTCTTGAGAAATGTTTAATTGCAAGAAGAAATTTGTGTTTTCACTATGTAATTAGTAAGAGTTTTTTTTTTTAGAAATGAATATGAACACATACAGATTTTAAAATGAATGCTTCCTGCTCATTTGTATAGTGGTAAAAACAAAAATAAAACAAAATGAATACTTCTATCTAATTTTATTGCCTTGAAGGTATTTTGATAGCAGTAGTTACCTCATTTTTCTTTCTTATTTGGGCTTAGTGTATAATAAATTATTGAGAACAATGGGGACATTCTACTTAATTCTTGGAAGGATAAGCTAGGATGCAGTCTAGTCTTATTTAGAACTTACTCTGGAATCGATCAACTCCCTTTTATACTATTATTATTATTATTAGTTTTAGTGTTTTGTTGTTGTTGTTTTTGAGATGGAGTCTCACTCTGTCACCCAGGCTGGAGTGCAGTGGCGTGATCTCGGCTCACTGCAACCTCCGCCTCCCGGGTTCAAGCGATTCTCCTGCCTCAGCCTCCCAAGTAGCTGGGATTACAGGTACCTCCCCACCATGCCTGGCTAATTTTTTGTACTTTTAGTAGAGACGGGGTTTCACCATGTTGGCCAGGCTGGTCTTCAACTCCTGACCTCAAGTGATCCTCCTGCCTCAGCCTCCCAAAGTGCTGGGATTACAGGTGTGAGCCGCCACACCTGGCCTTTAGTGTTTTTTTGTTAAGAGACTGGGTCTCGGCTCTGTCACCCAGGCTGGAGCAAGTGCAGTGGTACAATCCTAGCTGACTGTAGCCTCAAATTCCTGGGCTCAAGTGATCCTCCCACCTCAGCCTCCCAAGTAGCTAGGACTACAAGCATGTGTCACCATGCCCGACTAATTTTTTAAAGTTTTTTTTTGTAGAGATGGGGTCTTGCTTTGTTGCCCAGGCTGGTCTCAAACTCCTGGCTCCAAATGATCCTTCTGCTTCAGCCTCCCAAAGTACTTGGATTACAGGCATGAGCCACTGCTCCCAGCCAACTCCTTTTTGGATTTTTACTCTTCCTTTGCCTCTTAAAAAAACTGCAAACCAGTATGTCTCCAAATGATTACCTAAAATTTTTATGTATGCTTTAAAGAATGAATAAAAAGCAACCTATGAACCTCCTAGTAAAGTCAAGAAATTGGACATTATCAATGCCTTAAAAGACCCCTGCGGCCGGGTGCAGTGACTCACGCCTGTAATCTCAGCACTTTGGGAGGCCGATGTGGGCAGATTGTCTGAGCTCAAGAGTTCGAGACCAGCCTGGGCAACATGGTGAAACCCCATCTCTGTTAAAAAGCAGAAAAATTTAACCGGGCCTGGTGACACACGCCTGTAGTCCCAGCTATTAGGGAGGCTGAGGCAGGAGAATGGCTTGAACCTGGGAGGCGGAAGTTGCAGTGAGCCAAGATGGCGCCATTGCACTCCTGGGCGACAGAGCGTGACTCTGTCTCAAAAAATAAAAATAAAAAAAAAAACAACTCTGCATGCCAACCACCCCCTAATTCTGATTATATCCCTGTCCCTCCAATCCAGAGGTAAATGTGATGCTCAGTTTGGGTTAATTATTCCCTTGCTTCTCTTTGTGGTTTTACGAACTACATATACATCCTTAAACATATTTAGCTTTGTCTATTCTTGAAGTTCAAATAAGAAGCATACTGCATGATTCTTCTTGTAATTGGCTGGTTTTACTCCACGATGTTTTTGAGATTCATCCATATTTATATGTACTACACAGTTGTAGTTCACTTGTTTTCATTGGTAAATAGTGTATTATTTTATGAATATATAATAACTTATTTTACTGTTGATTAACCTCGTGGGTCGTTTTCAGAGTGTTGCAAATTCAAATAATGCCCTATGAACATTCTTGTACATATTTTCCAGTGCTCATGTGTGTTTCTCTAGGATACATAACAAAGTAAAGAATTGCAGAGTCATAGAACTTTGCGGGTGTTCAACTCCACTAGATAATGCAAAGCTTTTTCCCAAGTGGTTGCACTGATTTACATTCCCATTGGCCTAGATGCGTTTCTATTGATTTGCTTCCTCACTAACTTGGTATTGCCCAAATTTTAATTTTTGTCAGTGTAATTACTAATAATGTTAAGCTTATTTTCTTCTTCTTTTTTTCTTTCTTTTTTTTTTTTTTGAGACGGAGTTTCACTCTTGTTGCCCAGGCTGGAGTGCAATGGCACGATCTCGGCTCACCACAACCTCCGCCTCCCAGGTTCAAGTGATTCTCCTGCCTCAGCCTCCCGAGTAGCTGGGATTACAGGCATGTGCCACCACGCCCAGCTAATTTTGTATTTTTAGTAGAGATGGGGTTTCTCCATGTTGGTCAGGCTGGTCTCGGACTCCCAACCTCAGGTGATCCACCCACCTCAGCCTCCCAAAGTGCTGGGATTACAGGTGTGAGCCACCGCGCCCGGCAGTTGAGCTTATTTTCATATTTTCCTGCAGAATAGTCTTGTTCTTTCTCTTCAAGAGTGTGTCTTAGCTATTTTTTTGCCCTTTGGTCTTTCATATTCCAGAGAATATATTAAATATCCCAAGCAGGCATGGTGGTTCACACCTATAATCCCAGCACTTTGGGAGGCTGAGGTGGGAGGAGTGCACAAGGCGAGGAGTTTGAGACTAGCCTTTGCAACATAGCTAGACTCCATTTCTACAAAAAATTTTTAAAACAAACAGGGTGTGGTAGCATGCATCTGTAGTCCCAGCTACCTGGGAGGCAGAGGCAGGAGAATCGCTTGAGCTCAGGAGTATAGGTTGCAATGAGCTATGATTGTGCCACTGTACTGTGGCCTGGGTGACAGAGTAAAACTTTGTCTCTAAAAAACAGAAATATCCCTCTTTATCCTTGATAGTATTTTTTAGGCCTTTATTAGTTTTTTCATGTTACATCTTTTAGATTATTTTCTTTTTAATCTATCTGTGACTATATTTAAAGTCAATTCTTGTTTTTTCCTTTTCCTTTTTGTGGGTAACGGGGTCTCACTATGTTGCCCAGGCAGATCTCAAACTCCTGGGCTCAAGCTGTCCTCCCACCTCTGCCACCCTAAGTGTTGAGATTACAGGCATGAGCCACTGCACCCAGCCTTAAGGTGAATTGTTATAGGCAACAACACAGTGGGGTCTTTTATTTTATTTTTTATTTGTTTATGAGACAGACTCGCTCTGTTGCCTACGCTGGAGTGCAGTGGTGCAGTCTTGACTCACTGCAGCCTGGACTTCCCAGGCTCAAGCAATCCTCCCACCTCAGACTCCTGAGTAGCTGGGACTACAGGCACATGCCACCATGCCAGGCTAATTTTTTTTTTCTGGGCCTAGAGATCTGTGGAACTTTGAACTTGAGAGAGATGATTTAAGGTATCTGACAGAAGAAATTTCTAAGCAGCAAAGCATTCGAGAAGAAGCAGAGCATAAAATTTCAGAAAATTTGTAGCCTGATGATGCAACAGAAAAGAAAAATCTATTTTCTCAGGAGACTGGGTTGTAGAAATTTGCATAAGTAATGAGGAGCCAAATGTTAATCACCAAGACAATGGGGCAAATATCTCCAGGGCATGTTAGAGACCCTCACAGCAGACCCTCCCATCGCAGGCCAGGAGGCTTAGAAGGAAAAATGGTTTTGTGGGTCCAGAACCCCCTGCTGTGTGCAGCCTAGGAACTTGGGGCCCTGCATCCCAGCTGCTCCTGCCATAGGTAAAAGGGGCCAAGGTACACCTCAGGCCATGGCTTCAGAGGGTGCAAGTTCCAAGCCTTTCAGGTTCTAGGTGGTGTTAAGCCTGCAGATGCACCGAAGTCAAGAATTAACGTTCATGAACCTCCGCCTACATTTCAGAAGATGTATGAAAATGCCTGGAAATCCAGGCAAAAGTTTGCTGTGGGGGGGAGGGGAGGGGGGGGCCCTCATGGATAACCTCTGCTAGGGCAGTGTCAAAGGGAAATATGGGGTTGGAGCTCCCACACAGAGTCCCCACTGGGGTACTGCCAAGCAGAGCTGTGAGAAAAGGGCCACCATCCTCCAGACCCCAGAATGGTAGATCCACTGACAGCTTGCACTGTGTGCCTAGAAAAGCTGCAGACACTCAATGCAGCCAGAAGGGGGGCTGTACCCTGCAAAGCCACAGGGGCGGGGCTGCCCAAGACCCTGGGAACCCACTTCTTGCATCACCTAGATGTGACACATGGAGTCAAAGGAGGTCATTTTGGAGCTTTAAGATTTGCCTGCTGGGTTTTGGACTTGCATGGGGCCTGTAGCTCTTTCGCTTTGGCCAATTTCTCCCATTTGAAACGAGTGTATCTACCCAATGCCTGTATCCCTGTGTATCTAGAAAATAACTAACTTGCTTTTGATTTTACAGGCTCATAGGTGGAAGGGACTTGCCTTGTCTCAGATGAGACTTTGGACTATGGAATTTTGAGTTAATGCTGAAATAAGAGTTTGGGGGACTTAGGGGAAGGCATGATTGCTTTTGAAATATGAGGACATGAGATTTGGGAGGGGCCGGGGAAGAATTATATGGTTTGGCTCTGTCCGCACCCAAATCTCATCTTGAATTGTAACAATTCCCATGTGTCAAGGGTGGGGCCAGGTGGAGATAACTGAATCATGGAGGCAGTTTCCCCCATGCTGTTCTCATGGTAGTGAATAAGTCTCATGAGGTCTGATGGTTTTATAAATGGATGTTCCCCTGCACATGCTCTCTCCTGCCCACCATGTCTGACTAAATTTTGTATTTTTACTAGAGACGGGCTTTCACTATGTTGGCCAGGCTGGCCTCCAACTCCTGATCTCGTGATCCGTCCACCCCGACCTCCCAAAGTGCTAGGATCATAGGCATAAGCCACCACACCCGGCCTCTTTTTTTTCTTTTTCTTTTTTTTATCTGGAGACTGAGTTTTGCACTCGTTGCCCAGGCTGGAGTGCAATGGTGCGATCTCAGCTCACTGCAGTCTCCACCTCAGCAGGAGAGCAGGAATCTTCAGTGATCCACGGGCAAATATGCAGCCATTGTGGGCACCTGTTCCTCCCGCGACCTTTGTGCCCACGTCTCTCCCTCCAGTACCTACTGCACGACCCCCCACGTCCGCCTCCTGCCATTGCCAGCAGGTGCCTTGCGCGGGTACCTGGCTGCGCTTATTCATCCATTATGGTCGCTCTGTCACTGGTGCCATTATGTGCTCACATGCCCACTCCCTCAGGTTTAGAAGTCGCGTTGCCCGGCAACAGAACAATCTGCTGGCTTAGCCTTTGGCCAAGTTGGCAGCTGGACGAGGACGCTCAGAGCCCAGCTCTTGAGAGTTCAAGTATCCGACAGTTCCCCACTGCTCCCAGGAGCGGTTACCCGGGCACTCTGTGCCCCTCATTCCTGTTTGGGCCAAGGCCGAGGACCTGCGAGTAGGGCTCAGTTGCCTGGAGCCCCTTCAGCCCATCCCCCAGTTCACTTTGCTTGTGGGATCTCCCCGTTGCTCCTGCCCCTGGACTGAGTGGCAGGCCATCCTACAAACACCCGCACACTCGACATCAGTGGTGTCAAGACAACTCTAAGAAGGTTTTCCGTGATCCTGCAAGACCTGTGTCCCATCCTGGTGATTCTGTCTTCAACTTCACTGCACAGGTACCACAGTAAGCCAGTGCTGTGTGCTCTGAGTTCCAGGGCATCCCCCAGCTCAGCCACTACACTGAGCACAAGGACTCTGTGGGGCCCAGGAGCAGGTAGTCACCCCTTTGGGGTCCACAACACCCGGCTGTCCCCAGACTTGTGTCCAGGGAAGATAGTGTTGAGGGCCCTCAAGGAGAGCGGGGCAGGGATGCCTGAGCAGCACAAGGACCCCAGAGTCCAAGAAAATCCTGATGATCAGAGAACGGTCCCCGAGGTCACCGGGGATGCACGGTCTGCATTTTGGCCCCTGCGGGACAATGGAGGCCCCTCTCCCTTTGTGCCCAGGCCCGGGCCTCTGCAGACAGACCTCCACGCCCAGAGCTCAGAAATCAGATATAACCACACATCCCAGACATCCTGGACGAGCTCGAGCACCAAACGAAATGCCATCTCCAGCTCCTACAGCTCCACGGGAGGCTTGCCGGGGCTAAAGCAGAGGAGGGGGCCAGCCTCATCCCGCTGCCAGCTGACCCTCAGTTACTCAAAGACAGTGAGTGAGGACAGGCCTCAGGCTGTCTCTTCGGGTCACACACGGTGTGAAAAGGGGGCAGATACAGCACCAGGGCAGACAATCGCCCCAACGGGTGGCTCCCCCAGATCCCAGGACTCTAGGCCCCGTAGACGCAAGATTCCCCTGCTGCCACGCAGGCGAGGGGAGCCTTTGATGCTGCCACCTCCCTTAGAGCTGGGGTACCGGGTCACGGCTGAAGACCTGCACCTGGAAAAAGAGAAGGCATTCCAGCGCATCAACAGTGCACTGCACGTTGAGGACAAGGCCATCCCGGACTGCAGACCCTCACGGCCTTCCCACACTTTGTCCTCACTTGCAACAGGGGCTTCGGGTGGGCCTCCCGTTTCTCAAGCACCCACTATGGATGCACAGCAGGACAGACCCAAGTCCCAAGACTGCCTGGGCCTAGTGGCCCCCCTAGCATCTGCAGCAGAGGTCCCCGCTACAGCTCCCGTGTCTGGGAAGAAGCACAGACCACCAGGACCCCTGTTCTCCTCCTCAGATCCCCTTCCGGCCAACTCTTCCCACTCCCGGGACTCAGCCCAGGTCACCTCGATGATTCCTGTCCCCTTGACAGCTGCAAGCAGGGATGCCGGCATGAGAAGAACAAGGTCGGCTCCTGCAGCTGCCGCAGCAGCCCCTCCCCCCTCCACATTGAACCCCACGTCGGGGTCACTACTCAATGCAGTGGATGGAGGCCCCTCACATTTCTTGGCCTCAGCCACAGCTGCAGCACGTGTCCAGAGGTCAGAAGTGAGATATAACCAGAGATCCCAGACCTCCCGGACCAGATCGTGCCTCAAACGAAATGCCAGCTCCAGCTCCCACAGCTCTACGGAAGGCCTCCAGGAAGTAAAGCGGAGGAGGGGGCCAGCCTCATCCCACTGCCAGCTGGCCCACAGTTCCTCAAACAGAGTGAGTGAGGATGGACCTCAGGCTGTCTCTTCGGGTCACCGCTGTGAAAACAAGGCAGGTACAGCACCAGGGCAGACACTCGCCCCCAGGGGTGGCTCCCCCAGATCCCAGGCCTCTAGGCCCCACATCAACACTGCACTGCACGTTGAGGACAAGGCCATCTCGGACTGCAGACCCTCACGACCTTCCCACACTTTGTCCTCACTTGCAACAGAGGCTTCGGGTGGGCCTCCCGTTTCCAAAGCACCCACTATGGACGCACAGCAGGACAGACCCAAGTCCCAAGACTGCCTGGGCCTAGTGGCCCCCCTAGCATCTGCTGCAGAGGTCCCCTCTACAGCTCCCGTGTCTGGGAAGAAGCACAGACGACCAGGACCCCTGTTCTCCTCCTCAGATCCCCTTCCTGCCACCTCTTCCCACTCCCGGGACTCAGCCCAGGTCACCTCGCTGATTCCTGCCACCTTCACAGCTGCAAGCAGGGATGCCGGCATGAGAAGAACAAGGTCGGCTCCTGCAGCTGCCGCAGCAGCCCCTCCCCCCTCCACATTGAACAACACGTCGGGGTCACTACTCAATGCAGTGGATGGAGGCCCCTCACATTTCTTGGCCTCAGCCACAGCTGCAGCACGTGCCCAGAGGTCAGAAGTGAGATATAACCAGAGATCCCAGACCTCCCGGACCAGATCCTGCCTCAAACGAAATGCCAGCTCCAGCTCCAGCTCCCACAGCTCTACGGAAGGCCTCCAGGAACTAAAGCGGAGGAGGGGGCCAGCCTCATCCCACTGCCAGCTGGCCCACAGTTCCCCAAACACAGTGAGTGAGGACGGACCTCAGGCTGTCTCTTCGGGTCACCGCTGTGAAAACAAGGCAGGTACAGCACCAGGGCAGACACTCGCCCCCAGGGGAGGCTCCCCCAGATCCCAGGCCTCTAGGCCCCACATCAACAGTGCACTGCACGTTGAGGACAAGGCCATCTCGGACTGCAGACCCTCACGGCCTTCCCACACTTTGTCCTCACTTGCAACAGGGGCTTCGGGTGGGCCTCCCATTTCTAAAGCACCCACTATGGACGCACAGCAGGACAGACCCAAGTCCCAAGACTGCCTGGGCCTAGTGGCCCCCCTAGCATCTGCTGCAGAGGTCCCCTCTACAGCTCCCGTGTCTGGGAAGAAGCACAGACCACCAGGACCCCTGTTCTCCTCCTCAGATCCCCTTCCTGCCACCTCTTCCCACTCCCGGGACTCAGCCCAGGTCACCTCGCTGATTCCTGCCACCTTCACAGCTGCAAGCAGGGATGCCGGCATGAGAAGAACAAGGCCTGGCACCTCGGCTCCTGCAGCTGCCGCAGCAGCCCCTCCCCCCTCCACATTGAACCCCACGTCGCGGTCGCTACTCAATGCAGTGGATGGAGGCCCCGCACATTTCTTGGCCTCAGCCACAGCTGCAGCACGTGTCGAGAGGTCAGAAGTGAGATATAACCAGAGATCCCAGACCTCCCGGACCAGATCGTGCCTCAAACGAAATGCCAGCTCCAGCTCCCACAGCTCTACGGAAGGCCTCCCGCAACTAAAGCGGAGGAGGGGGCCAGCCTCATCCCACTGCCAGCTGGCCCACAGTTCCTCAGTGAGTGAGGACGGACCTCAGGCTGTCTCTTCGGGTCACCGCTGTGAAAACAAGGCAGGTACAGCACCAGGGCAGACACTCGCCCCCAGGGGTGGCTCCCCCAGATCCCAGGCCTCTAGGCCCCGCATCAACAGTGCACTGCACGTTGAGGACAAGGCCATCTCGGACTGCAGACCCTCACGGCCTTCCCACACTTTGTCCTCACTTGCAACAGGGGCTTCGGGTGGGCCTACCGTTTCTAAAGCACCCACTATGGATGCACAGCAGCACAGACCCAAGTCCCAAGACTGCCTGGGCCTACTGGCCCCCCTAGCATCTGCTGCAGAGGTCCCCTCTACAGCTCCCGTGTCTGGGAAGAAGCACAGACCACCAGGACCCCTGTTCTCCTCCTCAGATCCCCTTCCTGCCACCTCTTCCCACTCACGGGACTCAGCCCAGGTCACCTCGCTGATTCCCGCGCCCTTCACAGCTGCAAGCAGCGATGCCGGCATGAGAAGAACAAGGCCTGGCACCTCGGCTCCTGCAGCTGCAGCAGCAGCCCCTCCCCCCTCCACATTGAACCCCACGTCGGGGTCACTACTCAATGCAGTGGATGGAGGCCCCTCACATTTCTTGGCCTCAGCCACAGCTGCAGCACGTGTCCAGAGGTCAGAAGTGAGATATAACCAGAGATCCCAGACCTCCCGGACCAGATCCTGCCTCCAAGGAAATGCCAGCTCCAGCTCCCACAGCTCTACGGAAGGCCTCCCGCAACTAAAGCGGAGGAGGGGGCCAGCCTCATCCCACTGCCAGCTGGCCCACAGTTCCTCAAACACAGTGAGTGAGGACGGACCTCAGGCTGTCTCTTCGGGTCACACCCGCTGTGAGAAGAAGGCAGGTACAGCACCAGGGCAGACACTTGCCCCCAGGGGTGGCTCCCCCAGATCCCAGGCCTCTAGGCCCCGCATCAACACTGCACTGCACGTTGAGGACAAGGCCATCTCGGACTGCAGACCCTCACGGCCTTCCCACACTTTGTCCTCACTTGCAACAGGGGCTTCGGGTGGGCCTCCCGTTTCTAAAGCACCCACTATGGATGCACAGCAGGACAGACCCAAGTCCCAAGACTGCCTGGGCCTACTGGCCCCCCTAGCATCTGCTGCAGAGGTCTCCTCTACAGCTCCCGTGTCTGGGAAGAAGCACAGACCACCAGGACCCCTGTTCTCCTCCTCAGATCCCCTTCCTGCCACCTCTTCCCACTCCGGGGACTCAGCCCAGGACACCTCGCTGATTCCTGCCCCCTTCACACCTGCAAGCAGGGATGCCGGCATCAGAAGAATGTTTCGTGTTCGAAATTGTTTGAGGGGTTTGGGTTTATTTTTGTTGGTTTTTTCTTTTTTTTTTTTGCTTACGTGGGCATCCTTCAGCTTTTAATAATCTGAAAAATTCTATTTACCCATTGTCAATGTGTATAAATTAATCTCAGTCAATTTTATACAATAAAAGGTGAACTTTTATCCATCAAACAATAATTTAACAAAAAATGTACCGGAAGAAGAATGTTCATTACAAATATAGGAAACATAAATATTACCAAATATTGGCAAGCACTAAAATGTTCAGAAATATAAGTCTATTACAGTTATAGCTCTCTCAAGCAAAAAAACAGCAGAGAAAAACTTAGTTTTCCTGAGGGGCTATTTATTTACTTAGGGATTTGTTAAAAGGTCAAATGGGGTCACACAGAATACTAAGAAGAGCTGTTCACCCAGGCCTCACTAAGAACTCTTCTTCATGCAGTAGCTATATAGTAATATGACAACTGCTCCTACGACCCAAAGAGGAACTACAGCAACTACTCTTTAGCATCTGTTGCTCCCAACTCTGCTTTGCAATTATATGACTCAAGCATTCTGGCTCCGTTAACTATTACTGCTGTTACTCCCAAGTAAATTCCCTCTAAAAAATAAAAATTTTTAAAGCTGTAATTTAAGCTCTCTGCTGCCTCATGACTTCAATTCCATCAGAGTTACGCATTGTTTCCTCTGTACATCTTTGCTCTGCTTCCATTGCTAATTCCCTAGTAAAGTGTTGTATATTCAAAGTTCCAAAGAAACAGAATATCCAAGACATCACCAATCATCCAAAACACAGTGTAGGAGGCCACAGTTAAGAGAAGCAAGACCATTAGCTCTTTTTATAGGCTCGAGAACAACAGGATGCTTTGGTCCTGTATCAGCAGGACGCTTTTTGGGTAGATCCTACTGCCACCCTACTATCGGGTAGATCCTACTGTCACCCTAGCTATGGGCACATGTCAGAGTCCCATGTAATAAAGGAGACAAAAGGAAACCACCACGAGTATAAACTAAGAAAAGTACTCCAAGGTTTCTAAGAATGGAGCTGTATAACTCACTTTGCCCCGTTTGTTACTTCTCCACGGTACTTACCACCACCTATTACATATATTTTGTTTATAGTCAGTCTTCCCCCATTAGAATGAAAGTTCCGTGAGGATAGGACTATACAGTCAGCCCTCAGTATCCATGGGGGACTGGTTTCAGGATCTCCTGAGGGTAACAAAGGATACTCAAGTCCCTGATATAAAATGACATAGTATTTGCACATCACCTTTGCACATCCTCCCATATACTTCATATCAACTCTAGATCACTCATAATATCCGATGTAAATGTCATGCAAATAGTTATTGTACTATATTGTGTAAGGAATAAGGACAAGAAAAAAGTCTGTACATATTCAGTACAGACGCAATTTTTTTTTCCAATATTTCCAATCCTTGGTTGCCTTAACGGATGTAGAACCCAGGAATAAGTTCTGGTGTCCTATTGCATAGTAGGATGAGTATAGTTAACAATAACATATTATATATTTGAAAATAGCCAGAAGAGTAGATTTTGAATTTTCTCCCTACAGAAAAATCATTATGCAAATTACCCTGATTTGATCATTACACATTGAGTACATGTATTAAAACATCACATTCTACCCCATATATATGTACAGTTATTATGTGTCCATAAAAATTTAATGTCAATGTGTGAAATAAAATGAAAAAATAAAAATTTTTAAAGCTGTAATTATCTCCATCTGGTAGGAATATATACAATCTGAAATAAAAAATATATTTGTAATTGTTAGGACAAAATAGATTATACATTAAGTCTGCAAATTATAAATTATAAAATTCTCACAGAACCTGAAAAATTATTGATACTGTTAAATATTTAAAAAGCTGTCCTTGGAGAGAAAGAAACCTATCAGATTTACATCAACAAGTGTAATATGTCAGCCTATTACCATCTGCTACAGACTGCATGTTTGTGTTCCCTCAAAATTCATATGATAGGCCCGGCGCGGTGGCTCATGCCTGTAATCCCAGCACTTTGGGAGGCCGAGGCGGGTGGATCATGAGGTCAGGAGATCGAGATCATCCTGGCTAACATGGTAAAACCCCGTCTCTACTGAAAATACAAAAAATTAGCCGGGCGCAGTGGCGGGCGCCTTAGTCCCAGCTACTGAGGAGGCTGACGCAGGAGAACGGCGTGAACCCAGGAGGCGGAGCTTGTAGAGAGCCGAGATTGTGCCACTGCACTCCAGCCTGGGTGACAGACAGAGCGAGACTCTGTCTCAAAAAAAAAAAAAAAAAAAAAAAATTCATATGATAAAGCCCTAACCCCCAAGGTGAGGATACTGGGAGGCGTGGCCTTTAGGAGAGAATTAGGTTTAGATGAGGTCATGAGAATAGAGCCCCTATGGTGGCATTACTTCCTTTATAAGAAAAGACACTAGAGCTGCTTTTCTCCCTGCCATGTGAGGATACCGAGAGAAGATGGCCATTTCCAATCTAGGAAGCAGGCCCTCTTTAAGAAACATAATTTGCCAACACTTTGATCTTGCACTTCCAGTCTGCAGAACTGTGAGAAATATCTGTTTTTTTTTGTTTGTTTGTTTTTGTTTTTTTTGAGACAGAGTCTCATTCTGTCATCCAGGCTGGAGTACAGTGGTGCGATCATGGCTCACTGCAACCTCCGCCTCCCAGGTTCAAGCAATTCTCCCACCTCAGCCTCCCAAGTAGCTCAGACTACAGGCGTGCACCACCACGCCCAGCTAATTTTCGTAGAGACAAGGTTTTGCCATGCTGCCCAGGCTAGTCTCAAACTCCTGAGCTCAAGTTATCCACCTGCCTCGGCCTCCCAAAGTGTTAGGAATACAGGCATAAGCCACCACGCCTGGTCAAAATATCTACTGTTTAAGCTACCTAATTTATGGTATTCTGTTTTAGCAGCTGAAGCAGACTAAGATACCATCCTATAAGCTACAGACCAGCACTATCCAATAGAACTTTATATGACGAGGAAATGTTTTATATCTGTGCTATCCCTTATGTTAGCCACTAGCCACATGTATCCATCAAGTATTTGAAATATGGCTAGTGCAACTAAAGAACTTAATTTTTAATTTTCTTTTTTTTTTTTGAGATGGAGTCTCGCTCTGTCCCCCAGGCTGGAGTGCAGTGGCGCCATCTCGGCTCACTGCAAACTCTGCCTCCCAGGTTCACGCCATTCTCCTGCCTCAGCCTCCTGAGTAGCTGGGACTGCAGGCGCCCGCCACCACGCCCGGCTAATTTTTTGTATTTTTAATAGAGATGGGGGTTCACCGTCTTAGTAAGGATGGTCTCGATCTCCTGACCTAATGATCTGCCCGCCTCGGCCTCCCAAAGTGCTGGGATTACTGGCGTGACCCACCACGCCCGGCCAATTTTTATTTTATCTTATTTAAATAACCACATGTGGCTAGTGGCTAATGTATTGAACACTACAGCTGTAGACAATACGAAATAAATATAAAGCAGTCTCAACTTTGGAAAAACAGAAGACTCTTACTGCCTCATAATATAGATGAAAAATGAAATACTAAGATAAGTAAAACGTTCTTTAAAGAACAAAAACAAAAGAAAACCTAATGAAAGCTATAAAAGTCCATTGGATAATAATGCTACCAGTACTAAGGAAGTACAGCCCCTAAGAGTGACTTGCAGTCACAAATATAAAAATGACTATTCAACTGAACTCCTAAGGTGAAAATTTCTTATTCACCATGCTCCAAAATGGTCTGTAATATTCTTCAGAGATGGCATGGTGGGGGAGGCAAGTGGCATCTCTGCCCAGAGAGAATACACAAGCAGAAAGTTCAACACCGCTTACCTGGTGAAACCCTACAAGCGTTTCCACTCCATACGCGCTCTGAATAATGGGATTGTGATGTCTTACACCAATTCTCAAACTGGGCGGCCAGCTGCAGCTGAATCAACTCCAGGTGCCCGTAGTTGCGATACCAAGAGTAGTAGCTGTTCACACGGATCACATCCACATACAGAGCCTAGGACCAGAGCAGCAGAGCCCGTTCAGCAACCACAAGACCGCATGACTCAGTACTCACATGCTGTGGGGGCTCCTCTGACAGAGAAGGTAAGAAGGGGATGTAATCCCAGCACTCTGGGAGGCTGAGGCAGGAGGGTGGCTTGTGGCCAGGAGTTCGAGACCAGCCTGGGCAACACAGCAAGACCCCAGCTCTACAAAAAATAGTATCAAGAAAATCAGCACGGCACAGTGGCTCATGCCTGTAATCCCAGCACATTGGGAGGCCAAGGTGGGAGGATCACTTGAGCCCAGGAGTTTGAGAGCAGCCTGGGCAACGTCGTAGGACTCCATTTCTACAAAACAAAACAAAAAGCCTACAACGGGAAGAGCTGCCTCTCGGGGCTGAGAACATCCAACTGCACCAATTTAGATCCTGAAATTACCCTGCCCCACAAGCAAAAAACATGGTCACAAAGTGGCCCAAAGGAGGCAGGCCTGTGATTGCACACTGACGCTCACGACGTGTGCAGCTGGGAAGGGCTGTGAGAGGCAGAGCAGCTGCCAACACGCAGTCCTCAGCCAAAACCCAGGGCCCCCGCCACTGGAACTGACTCCTCTCCAGGCAGCACTCCCAGCACTGGGCATCCCCTCACCTTGCCCTGGAGAAGCCCTCCCACCCAAGGGGCCAATGCAGTCATTCTCGCAGATAATCTTTTTCCGCTTTGTTTGGAAGACAGAGTCTCGCTCTGTTGCCCAGGCTAGAATGGAGTGGCACAATAATGCAAGCTCTGCCTCCCACGATCAAGCGCAGGCGTGGTGGCATGTGCCTGTTATCCCAGCTACTTGGGAGGCTGAGGCAGGAGAATTGCTTGAACCTGGGAGGCGGAGGTTGCACTGAGCTGAGACTGTGCCACTGCACTCCAGCCTGGGCAACAGAGCAAGACTCTATCTTAAAAAAATAATAAAAAATAAAAAAGAATGCTAGTATCAGCCAGGCACGGTGGCTCATGCCTGTAATCCCAGCACTTTAGGAGGCTAAGGCAGGAGGATCACTTGAGCTCAAGAGTTTGAGACTGGCCTGGGCAACATAGTGAGATCCCATCTCTACAAAAACATTTAAAATTAGCCGGGCACAGTGGTGTACCCCCGGAGTCCCAGCTACTTGGAAGGCTGAGGCAAGAGGGTTGCTTAGGCCCAGGAATTCAAGGCTGCAGTGAGCTGTGATCACACCACTGCACTCCAGCCAGAGCAACAGAGTAAGACCTTGCCTTCACACACACACACAAAAAAACAAAAAACTCAGGTTCCAACCCTGGAGTTACTAAATCAGGATCTCAGAACGCAGAGATCTGGCATTTCAATAAAACTTCCCCTGGAGATTCTGATCAGCCAGGTTTGGGCCAGATGAACTCTAAGCTCACTTAAACCTTTGACATTTTATGAGTCTATTAAATCGAGTACAAAAAATGCTGAGTCCAAACCGGGCAAACAAATCCCATCTCCCTATGCCCAGCCTCCTTGGATTCAGAAAGCCACACTGCCTGGAGAGTAAGCAGAGAGAGAATTGTCATTAACCCAAAGACCATCTTTGAAAACAGACTGGCTGCGGCTGAGTGCGGTGGCACACGCCTGTAACCCCAGCCCTTTGGAAGGCCGAGGCAGGAGGATCACTTGAGCCCAGGAGTTCGAGACCAGCCTGGGCAACATGGCAAGACCCTGTCTCTATCTTTCTAAGTAAAACAAAATAAAAAGCTCAGACTGGCAGCACATGGTTCTTTCCAGCTGTTCCCATGAGCAGGCTTCAGGACAAGCCCAGGCAAAGGCAGGGAGAAATGGGGTGGGGACCCCCAGGCTCACCCCCTTGTCTGCTGCGTAGGTGGAGTTGGTCACAAAGGTCACAGGCTGGGAGGGGTCCAAGGCTTTGGTGTGAGCAATCACCATCCTGTCCACAAAAGAGAGAAGACACAGGTTCCGTCAGTCCGGGAAAGGCTCAGACACCCTCCCATCCTCTCTGTCCCATCTTCCCCTGCCAGAACACAACTGGGGGCCAGGCACGACGGCTCACGCCTGTAATCCCAGCACTTCAGGAGGCTGAGGCAGGCAGATCACTGAGGTCAGGGGTTCAAGAACAGCCTGGCCAACATGGCAAAACCCCATTTCTACTAAATATACAAAAATTAGCCAGGCTTAGTGGCACGCATCTGTAACTCCAGCTACTCGGGAGGCTGAGGCACAAGAATTGCTTGAACCCGGGAGGTGGAGGTTGCAGTGAGCCGAAATCACGCTACTGCACTCCAGCCTGGGCCACAGAGCAAGACCCTGCCCCAAAACAAACAAACAAACAAACAAACAAACAAACAAACAAAAAAAAAGAAAGAAAAGAAAAAAAAAAAAAAAAACAAAGCACAGAGCCGCTGCTTTCTTCCCTAACTTGAGATGTATTTTACATAAGGGCACGTTCCTCTAGTCCTAGACCGAGCTCTCTAACAACACTCTTTCTCCCCCACCCCTGAATCCAACTCCCCCAGAGGCGTAGCCACCCTGCCGGGTACACAGAGCTGAGGTCACTGGACTGAACACTGCCAGAAATGAGGTTCACTTCCTGAAATAGCTCTTGAACACAGGAGTGAATGGGCTGTGGATTCAGGTGGAATATTTATTAATGCATCAAGCAAACAGGTAGTGCGAGGTGGGAGGTAGGCATGAGGCTGGGTGCTAGGTGCTCAGTAATGACTCAAATCTAAGTCCACAGGTCCTGGGCAGTGGGAGTGGAGATGCATGCACAGAAAAACGGTGCAAGTGCCAGGCGAGGTGGCTCAAGCCTAGAACCCCAGCACTTTGGGAGGCTTACTTGAGACCAGGCGCTTGAGACCAGCCTGGACAACATAGCAAGACCTTGTTTCTACAACAAATTTAAAAATTAGGGCCGGGCATGGTGGCTCAAGCCTGTGAGCACTTTGGGAGGCCAAGGCAGGTGGATCACGAGCTCAAGAGTTCGAGACCAGCCTGGCCAACATGGTGAAACCCCATCTCAACAAAAAATAAAGAAGAAAACTAGCTGGGCATGGTGGCGTGAGCCTGTAATCCCAGCTACTCGGGAGGGTGAGGCAGGAGAACTGTTTGTACCCAGGAGGTAGAGGATGCAGTGAGCCAAGATCGCAACACTGCTCTCCAGCCTGGGAGACAGAGCAAGACTCTGACTCGTGGGGAAAAAAAAATATTAAAATTTAGCCTGGCAAGGCAGCGCACGTCTGTGGTCCCAGCTATTTGGGAGGCTGAGTGGGGAGGATCGCTTAAGCCCAGGAGGTCGAGATGGCAACGAGCTATGATTGCACCACTGCACTCCAGCCTGGGCAACAGAGTGAGACCCTGACTCTGAAAAACAAACAATGAAAGAAATGTTGCGAATGGAAATGACAAGTGGTGGCAGGAATTGGGCACTCTATGAGACAACAGACACATCCCCGATTGGAGAGTCAGGGACAGGCTCTTAGAAGAAATGGCCTTTATGCTGAGTCAAGTTAACCAGGAGGGATGAAGGGAAGAGGCTCCCAACAGAGGGACCAGTCCGTGCTCAGAGCTCCCAGCATCTGCCCAAGGCCTCCACAGAACAGACTGTTGTGTTTTTGTTTTGTTTTGTTTTGTTGAGATACAGAGTCTCATTCTGTAGCCCAGGCTGGAATGCAGTGGCATTATCTCAGCTCATTGCAATCTCTGCCTCCTGGTTCACCTGAGGCGATTCTCCTGCCTCAGCCTACCTGGTAGCTGGGATTACAGACGTCCACCACCATGCCCAGCTAATTTTTGTATTTTTAGTAGAGACAGGATTCACTACCTGTTGACCAGGCTGGTCTCGAACTCCTGACCTCGGGTGATCCACCCACCTCAGCCTCCCAAACTGCTGGGATTACAGGCGTGACCCACCGCATCCGGCCTAGACCGTTGTTGAAGCTGGTTTTCTTCTTCTTTCCTCAGTTCTTTTCTTTTACATCTTCCCCCCATCATTGCTCTGCCCATCCGAAGGCTGTGGCTGGCACAGGACAGAATAGAACCTCCTAGCCTCAAGTTCCAAACCCACACTCTCCAATAGCCAGGCTCTCAGATGGGAAGCTTCAAAGCCTTGTGACAGCCTGGCTGAACCTCTCCAGCCTGGGCCCTCCCTCCATTTCCTGCCCCGGAAACAGGCATCTCCTCTGGCCACCTCCCAAAGCCTGTCTGGAAGCCTCAGGCACCCGCTCCTGGAAGCCTGTACGATTCACAACAAACGGCCTGTCCACCCAGTCGTGCTGAGCACACCCCTATTCCCCCGAGCTCTGAATTGTCCTTTGCCCAGGCTAGGACAACATCTCAGAGCCTTCTGCCTGCTGCAGACTCGGCTCAGCCCAAATCACTCCATGAAATTGGGGTGTGGCATCTGCCTCAAGGAGCATTTCTACAACCTCTGCTGCCTCTACCGCAAATGAAACTGGCTCTCACCCACTGGCTCTCGGTGACGGGCACAGTGCGGAGCCCCACAGGGAGTGTGTAGAAGTCAAAGGCCCCAGTGACTTCTGTGCAGTCAGCCGCACCTACGACAGCCAAAGCGCCAGGTGTGAGCGCCCCGACAGCCTGAGCCCCATCTGGCCTGCCCTACAGCAGGAAGACCCCTCGTGCATGCACCCCAGAAGTCGCCACTGGGCCTGCAGAGAAGCAGCAATCAGAGGCTCTGCCCTTCACTGGCTGACCCTGGGACCTGCCCTTCAAAATCAGGCCTTCTCCTTGACCAGACGAGGTGGCTCATGCCTGGAATCCCTACACTTTGGGAGGCTAAGGCAGGAGGATCACCTGAGTCCAGGAGTTCAAGACCAGCCTGGGCAACCTAGTAAGACCCCAACTCTATAAAAAGGAGTTTTTTTTTTTTGAGACAGTCTCACTCTGTCACCCAGGATAGAGTGCTGCGGCATGATCTCAATTCACCGCAGCCCCTGCCTCCTGGGTTCAAGCAATTCCCCTGCCTCAGCCTCCCGAGTAGCTGGGATTACAGACGTGCACCATCATGCCCTGCAAATTTTCATATTTTAGTAGAGACGGGGTTTCACCATGTTGGCCAGGCTGGTCTCCAACTCCTGGCCTAAAGTGATCCGCCCGCGTCAGCCTCCCGAAGTGCTGGGATTACAGGTGTGAGCCACCATGCCCGGCCTACAAAAAAAATTTTTTTAATTAGCCAGGCATGGTGGCATGTGCCTGTAGTCCCAGCTACTCAGGAGGCCAAGGTAGGAGGATTGCAGCTCAAAGCTGCAGTGAGCTGTGATCAGGCCATTGCATTCCAGCCTGGGTGACAGAGTGAGACCATCACAAAAACAAACAAATAAATAAATAAATAAATAAATAAATAAATAAATAAAAAATCTGGGCCTCCCACCAAGGGTGGGAAACATCAGAAAGCTCAGAGGACCACACCTGCCCGTTCACCTGTCCTGGGCTCCTGCTGAAGCCAGGGCTACCAGATGGGGGCAAAAGACCTCCCTTACGCAAGTCCCAAACCACCATTACCTCCCACGAGTACAGGTAGGCGGGGTGTTCGTGCATCAGGTACGGCCACCAGAGGTTGGCACCCAGCACCTTCAGCTGGCCCTGGGTCCCAGCCTGGTTGTCCACGACTTTGTTTTCTGCATTCAAAAGACACACTTCCAACTTGAACTGGTTACTGCACTTGACGGAGATCTGGTAATTCACCAGCCCTGCAGGAGGCAAGAGAGACCAGGGCTTAGGGAGGGACATGACCTGGGTCACACAAACGGGAAGGCCCCACAATGACCACTCCCAGGCACTCTCATTTGCTTCTGTTGCTTTTTTTTTTTTTTTTTTTGAGATAGAATCTCGCTCTGTCACCCAGGCTGGAGTGCAGTGGCATGATCTGGACTCACTGAAACCTCTGCCTCCCAGGTTCAAGTGATTCTCCTGCCTCAGCCTCTGGAATAGCTGGGATTACAGGCACCTGCCACCACATCCAGCTAATTTTTGTATTGTTAGTAGAGACGGGGTTTCACCACATTAGCCAGGATGGTCTTGATCTCCTGACCTCGTGATCCGCCTGCCTCGGCCTCCCAAAGTGCTGGGATTACAGGCTTGAGCCACCGTGCCCGGCCCTGAACCAATGCGCCCAGCCCGCTTTTAATTTAATTTTTTAATTTTTTTTTTTTTTTTTTTTTTTTTTTTTTTGAGATGGAGTCTCACTGTCACCCAGGCTGGAGTGTAGTGCTGCGATCCTGACTCGCTGCAACCTCCACCTCTGGAGTTCAGGTGATTCTCCTGCCTCAGCCTTCCGAGTACCTGGGAATACAGGAATGCACCACCATGCCCGGCGAATTTTTCTATTTTCAGTAGAGACGGAGTTTTGCCATGTTGGCCAGGCTGGTCTCGAACTCCTGAACTCAGGTGATCCACCCGCCTCAGTCTCCCAATAGATTACATATATTATTAATGAATTGCTTCCTTTAACACCCTATTCATTGAATTTTCCAGTAAACCACAATTACTAATTACTCCTGAAATCAGAAAAGAGGTTAAAAAGATTTTATAACAGTATCCTATGAAATCTACTACTTTCAAGTAATAGTAGTTGAATTACCAAAACCCGTCACTCAAGCCAATGACTACAATTAAGATATGAGTAACATTTCCTAGATAAATAAAGTCAATTAATTATATTTGCATCTGGGAAATAGAGAAAGTACATATAAGCCATGATTTTGAAGTCAAAAGAGAGAGAATATTTGCCAAGGAGGGGTGAGTTATAGTATGTAATTATAACATACAGAAGTTTTTTGTATGCTGGTAACTAATTTTAATTTCCTACATTTTTATGTAGATTTCTGCTATTCTTGTCCTATTTTCCTAATCATCTTTCTATATGAATGACTACATAATTCTGAGAATACCAAAAGAGACAGACACAGAACCAATCGGATTCCTTTCTTCTTGAAGCTTCTGCACAGCAAAAGAAACTATCAACAGAGTGAACAGACAACCTACAGAATGGGAGAAAATTTTTGCAACAATGCATGTGACAAAGATCTAATGTCCAACACTGATAAGGAACTTAAACAAATTTACAAGAAAAAAAAAATCTCATTAGAAAGTGGGCACAGGACATAAACAGACACTTCAAAAGAAGACACACATGCGGCCAACAAGCATATGAGAAAAAGCTCAATATCACTGATCATTAGAGAAATGCAAATCAAAACCACAATGGCATACCATCTCACACCAGTCAGTATGGTTATTATTAAGAAGTCAACGCCGGGCATGGTGGCTCACGCCTATAATCCCAGCACTTCAGGAGGCCAAGGCAGGCAGATCGCATGAGGTCAGGAGTTCCAGACCAGCCTGGACAACCTGGCGAAACCCCGTCTCTACTAAAAATACAAAAATTAGCCCAGCGTGGTGGCGGGTGCCTGTAATCCCAGCTACTCAGGATGCTGAGGCAGGAGAATCGCCTGAACCCGGGAGGCAGAGGTTGTAGTGAGCCGAGATCATACCACTGCACTCTCCAGCTTAGGTGACAGAGCGAGACTCTGTCTCAAAAAAAAAAAAAAAAATATTTGAATTTTGTTTAAATCGCTAACACATACTGGGCATTTAATAACAAAAAAAAAGGACATGAGATTGTGATCCTTATGAAGGTTTGAGAGGCATTTCACTAGGGTTCAACATACAGCAGTCTGAAACATACTGTAATAATTTAATCCAATGGCTCATCTACAGCACCTAAAAAGATTACAGCAGATTCTCATTATTCAGTGTAGTTACGGTCTAGAAAGTTCCATGAACAAATAAAAAGTTAGGTTTCAGCAAGCTACTGGTCACACTTTTGTAAGCTTACCAACACCTACTTTTGTTGTATGTGTGCTTATTTAATATATATTGTTGGCCAGGCACAGTGGCTAACGCCTGTAATCCCAGCACTTTGGGAAGCCAAGGCGGGCAGATCATTTGAGGTCTGGAGTTCGAGACCAGCCTGGCCAACGTGGTGAAACCCCGTCTCTACTAAAACTACAAAAAAAAAAAAAAAAAATTAGCCAGGCATGGTGGCGCATGCCTGTAGTCTTAGCTACTTGGGAGGCGAAGGCAGGGGAATCGCTTGAACCCAGGAGGCAGAGGTTGCAGTGAGCCAAGACTGCACCACTGCACTCCAGCCTGAGCAACAGAGTGAGACTCTATCTCAAAAAAAATAATAATAATAATTAATTAAATGAAGAATAAATAAATAATATACATTGTTCATTCATTAACATTGAACTCACAGCCAACGGCACTACAGCACTCACGCCTGAATGGAGTTTATTTAATGCATGTATTTTCTCTGTAAGACACATCACAGACTTCTTGGACTTGTGAATGCTAAGCAGCACTTCAGCACTATGCTTGGGGGTTAATTTAAATGGCAAAACAACCAACAAACAGTACAAAAACAGGAAAAGCATGGCATTAAATAGACCACAAAAAGGATACCTGACTATTGTATGAGAGCTGAAAAAGAAGGCAGAATATCATCCTGTTCAAACTCAAATTCTTTGACACTCTGCGCAAACACATGACTATGAAAGTGCTGTGAGTACTGATTTGGGGGTTACAAAAAATAGTAGGTGAGTTCACAAATACAAAAGCTGAAAACAAGGAGGATCGACTGTATTTTCGTAGACAATCTAATCTCAGAAGATTTCAGTTCAGACAAAAATCATGATAATTACTGTATTACAAAAGGGCACTAGATAGGGGGGAAAGAGTAAAAATCACAATTAAAACAAAGGTTCAAAATTCTGCAGCAATCATATCCAGTTACACTTTAATATGTTTGCGGCAGACTACATTATTGTTCCCAACTCATCACCCCTCCCTATATCTAAAACCTTTCCCCAAGACAATGCAGTTCCTCCTGCTAGAGATCAGGTATATTTATCTATACTATCAATGTTAGCCATGGACAAGGTATGTGCTTTGGCTGACTGAATGTTAGTGGACATGAGAGAAGCAATGGCTTAAAATGTACTTCCAGAACTGGAGTTTCCTTGTGATTCTATCACTGTGACAGAAACACATTCTCAGGTAGTCCACTGATCCAAGGGGGAACAAACACACAGAAAACATACCTAGACTCTATCTGCAGCTTGCAGCCTCACCAAGCCAACAACAGTCAACTCACAGATATGTTAGCAAAAATAAATGTTTTTCGTACCTTAAGTTTTATATAATTATTGACCTGCAGTTAACTGATATACAATATACATTAATCTTAAAATATCAGTATCCCATTAAAAATATTTACATTAAAAACTGAGACCACTTTCTTTCCTCCTTTTTTTTTTTTTTTTTTTTTAAATTAAGAGACAGGGTGTCTCAATGTTGCCCAAGCTGGAGTTCAGTGGCTAGTGGCTATTCACAAGAACGATCATCGCACACTACCTCAAACTCCTGGGATCAAGCAATCCTCCTGCCTCAGCTTTCCAAGTCGCTGGGACTATAAGTGTGTACCACAGCATGTCAGCTCTCTCTCTCCTTCTTGACCTAAAGCCTAGCATAAAATTAGCTAAGTAGAATGTTTCCAAAGATGGCTGCATCAGTATCTCCCATCCCACATAATTTCTGTTTCATTTTGCCATTCACCCATAAAATGGTGGGATCTACCTCCCCTCCTTGCAAATTTGAGCTGGCCCTCTGATCCTGTCTAAGATCTGAAGCCAGATATTAAGGTACTTCATTAATTTCCATGTTTGTCCTCTATGCAACCTAGCAATCAAGCAAGAAGTCAAAACATACTGACATAGTTTGGATGGGTCCCCACCCAAATCTCACCTTGCATTGTAATAATTCCCACGTGTCAAGGGTGGGGCCGGGTGCAGATAACTGAATCATGGGGATGGTTCCCCCCATACTGTTCTCGCGGTAGTGACTAAGTCTCATGAGATCTGATGGTTTTATAAATGGGAGCTCCCCTGCACATGCTCTCTCCTGCCTGCCACTATGTGAGACATGCTTTTGCACCTCCTTGCCTTCCACCATGACTGTGAGGCCTCCCCAGCCATGCAGAACTGTGAGTCAATTCAACCTCTTTCCTTTATAAATTACCCAGTCTCAGGTATGTCTTTATTTGCAGTGTGAGAACAGACTAATACAATAAGTTGATACCAGTAGAGTGGGGTGCTGCTGTAAAGATACCCGAAAATGTGGAAGCAACTTTGGAAATGGGTAACAGGGAGAGGCTGGAACAGTTTGGAAGGCTCAGAAGAGGATAGGAAAATGTGGGAAAGTTTGGAACTTCCTAGAGACTTGTTGAATGGCTTTGACCAAAATGTTAATAGTGATATGGACAACAAGGTCCAGGCGGAGGTGGTCTCAGAGGCAGATGAGGAATTTGTTGGGAAATGGAGTAAAGTCACTCTTACTATGCAAAGACACTGCAGGCATTGTGCACCTGTATTAGAAACGGGCATAAGATAGGCGGGAAAGAGGGAAAATAAGAATTTTTTTCTAGAGTTCCCTACAGATCTGTGGAACTTTGAACTTGAGAGAGATGATTTAAGGTATCTGACACAAGAAATTTCTAAGCAGCAAAGCATTCGAGAAGAAGCAGAGCATAAAAGTTCAGAAAATTTGTAGCCTGATGATGCAACAGAAAAGAAAAATCTATTTTCTCAGGAGACTGGGTTGTAGAAATTTGCATAAGTAATGAGGAGCCAAATGTTAATCACCAAGACAATGGGGCAAATGTCTCCAGGGCATGTTAGAGACCCTCACAGCAGACCCTCCCATCGCAGGCCAGGAGGCTTAGAAGGAAAAATGGTTTTGTGGGTCCAGAACCCCCTGCTGTGTGCAGCCTAGGAACTTGGGGCCCTGCATCCCAGCTGCTCCTGCCATAGGTAAAAGGGGCCAAGGTACACCTCAGGCCATGGCTTCAGAGGGTGCAAGTTCCAAGCCTTTCAGGTTCTAGGTGGTGTTAAGCCTGCAGATGCACCGAAGTCAAGCATTAACGTTCATGAACCTCCGCCTACATTTCAGAAGATGTATGAAAATGCCTGGAAATCCAGGCAAAAGTTTGCTGTGGGGGGGAGGGGAGGGGAGGGGGGGCCCTCATGGATAACCTCTGCTAGGGCAGTGTCAAAGGGAAATATGGGGTTGGAGCTCCCACACAGAGTCCCCACTGGGGTACTGCCAAGCAGAGCTGTGAGAAAAGGGCCACCATCCTCCAGACCCCAGAATGGTAGATCCACTGACAGCTTGCACTGTGTGCCTGGAAAAGCTGCAGACACTCAATGCAGCCAGAAGGGGGGCTGTACCCTGCAAAGCCACAGGGGCGGGGCTGCCCAAGACCCTGGGAACCCACTTCTTGCATCACCTAGATGTGACACATGGAGTCAAAGGAGGTCATTTTGGAGCTTTAAGATTTGCCTGCTGGGTTTTGGACTTGCATGGGGCCTGTAGCTCTTTCGCTTTGGCCAATTTCTCCCATTTGAAACGAGTGTATCTACCCAATGCCTGTATCCCTGTGTATCTAGAAAATAACTAACTTGCTTTTGATTTTACAGGCTCATAGGTGGAAGGGACTTGCCTTGTCTCAGATGAGACTTTGGACTATGGAATTTTGAGTTAATGCTGAAATAAGAGTTTGGGGGACTTAGGGGAAGGCATGATTGCTTTTGAAATATGAGGACATGAGATTTGGGAGGGGCCGGGGAAGAATTATATGGTTTGGCTCTGTCCGCACCCAAATCTCATCTTGAATTGTAACAATTCCCATGTGTCAAGGGTGGGGCCAGGTGGAGATAACTGAATCATGGAGGCAGTTTCCCCCATGCTGTTCTCATGGTAGTGAATAAGTCTCATGAGGTCTGATGGTTTTATAAATGGATGTTCCCCTGCACATGCTCTCTCCTGCCCACCATGTCTGACTAAATTTTGTATTTTTACTAGAGACGGGCTTTCACTATGTTGGCCAGGCTGGCCTCCAACTCCTGATCTCGTGATCCGTCCACCCCGACCTCCCAAAGTGCTAGGATCATAGGCATAAGCCACCACACCCGGCCTCTTTTTTTTCTTTTTCTTTTTTTTATCTGGAGACTGAGTTTTGCACTCGTTGCCCAGGCTGGAGTGCAATGGTGCGATCTCAGCTCACTGCAGTCTCCACCTCAGCAGGAGAGCAGGAATCTTCAGTGATCCACGGGCAAATATGCAGCCATTGTGGGCACCTGTTCCTCCCGCGACCTTTGTGCCCACGTCTCTCCCTCCAGTACCTACTGCACGACCCCCCACGTCCGCCTCCTGCCATTGCCAGCAGGTGCCTTGCGCGGGTACCTGGCTGCGCTTATTCATCCATTATGGTCGCTCTGTCACTGGTGCCATTATGTGCTCACATGCCCACTCCCTCAGGTTTAGAAGTCGCGTTGCCCGGCAACAGAACAATCTGCTGGCTTAGCCTTTGGCCAAGTTGGCAGCTGGACGAGGACGCTCAGAGCCCAGCTCTTGAGAGTTCAAGTATCCGACAGTTCCCCACTGCTCCCAGGAGCGGTTACCCGGGCACTCTGTGCCCCTCATTCCTGTTTGGGCCAAGGCCGAGGACCTGCGAGTAGGGCTCAGTTGCCTGGAGCCCCTTCAGCCCATCCCCCAGTTCACTTTGCTTGTGGGATCTCCCCGTTGCTCCTGCCCCTGGACTGAGTGGCAGGCCATCCTACAAACACCCGCACACTCGACATCACTGGTGTCAAGACAACTCTAAGAAGGTTTCAAGTGATCCTGCAAGACCTGTGTTCCATCCTGGTGATTCTGTCTTCAATTTCACTGCACAGGTACCACAGTAAGCCAGTGCTGTGTGCTCCGAGTTCCAGGGCATCCCCCAGCTCAGCCACTACACTGAGCACAAGGACTCTGTGGGGCCCAGGAGCAGGTAGTCACCCCTTTGGGGTCCACAACACCCGGCTGTCCCCAGACTTGTGTCCAGGGAAGATAGTGTTGAGGGCCCTCAAGGAGAGCGGGGCAGGGATGCCTGAGCAGGACAAGGACCCCAGAGTCCAAGAAAATCCTGATGATCAGAGAACGGTCCCCGAGGTCACCGGGGATGCACGGTCTGCATTTTGGCCCCTGCGGGACAATGGAGGCCCCTCTCCCTTTGTGCCCAGGCCCGGGCCTCTGCAGACAGACCTCCACGCCCAGAGCTCAGAAATCAGATATAACCACACATCCCAGACATCCTGGACGAGCTCGAACACCAAACGAAATGCCATCTCCAGCTCCTACAGCTCCACGGGAGGCTTGCCGGGGCTAAAGCAGAGGAGGGGGCCAGCCTCATCCCGCTGCCAGCTGACCCTCAGTTACTCAAAGACAGTGAGTGAGGACAGGCCTCAGGCTGTCTCTTCGGGTCACACACGGTGTGAAAAGGGGGCAGATACAGCACCAGGGCAGACAATCGCCCCAACGGGTGGCTCCCCCAGATCCCAGGACTCTAGGCCCCGTAGACGCAAGATTCCCCTGCTGCCACGCAGGCGAGGGGAGCCTTTGATGCTGCCACCTCCTTTAGAGCTGGGGTACCGGGTCACGGCTGAAGACCTGCACCTGGAAAAAGAGACGGCATTCCAGCGCATCAACAGTGCACTGCACGTTGAGGACAAGGCCATCCCGGACTGCAGACCCTCACGGCCTTCCCACACTTTGTCCTCACTTGCAACAGGGGCTTCGGGTGGGCCTCCCGTTTCTAAAGCACCCACTATGGATGCACAGCAGGACAGACCCAAGTCCCAAGACTGCCTGGGCCTACTGGCCCCCCTAGCATCTGCTGCAGAGGTCTCCTCTACAGCTCCCGTGTCTGGGAAGAAGCACAGACCACCAGGACCCCTGTTCTCCTCCTCAGATCCCCTTCCTGCCACCTCTTCCCACTCCGGGGACTCAGCCCAGGACACCTCGCTGATTCCTGCCCCCTTCACACCTGCAAGCAGGGATGCCGGCATCAGAAGAATGTTTCGTGTTCGAAATTGTTTGAGGGGTTTGGGTTTATTTTTGTTGGTTTTTTCTTTTTTTTTTTTGCTTACGTGGGCATCCTTCAGCTTTTAATAATCTGAAAAATTCTATTTACCCATTGTCAATGTGTATAAATTAATCTCAGTCAATTTTATACAATAAAAGGTGAACTTTTATCCATCAAACAATAATTTAACAAAAAATGTACCGGAAGAAGAATGTTCATTACAAATATAGGAAACATAAATATTACCAAATATTGGCAAGCACTAAAATGTTCAGAAATATAAGTCTATTACAGTTATAGCTCTCTCAAGCAAAAAAACAGCAGAGAAAAACTTAGTTTTCCTGAGGGGCTATTTATTTACTTAGGGATTTGTTAAAAGGTCAAATGGGGTCACACAGAATACTAAGAAGAGCTGTTCACCCAGGCCTCACTAAGAACTCTTCTTCATGCAGTAGCTATATAGTAATATGACAACTGCTCCTACGACCCAAAGAGGAACTACAGCAACTACTCTTTAGCATCTGTTGCTCCCAACTCTGCTTTGCAATTATATGACTCAAGCATTCTGGCTCCGTTAACTATTACTGCTGTTACTCCCAAGTAAATTCCCTCTAAAAAATAAAAATTTTTAAAGCTGTAATTTAAGCTCTCTGCTGCCTCATGACTTCAATTCCATCAGAGTTACGCATTGTTTCCTCTGTACATCTTTGCTCTGCTTCCATTGCTAATTCCCTAGTAAAGTGTTGTATATTCAAAGTTCCAAAGAAACAGAATATCCAAGACATCACCAATCATCCAAAACACAGTGTAGGAGGCCACAGTTAAGAGAAGCAAGACCATTAGCTCTTTTTATAGGCTCGAGAACAACAGGATGCTTTGGTCCTGTATCAGCAGGACGCTTTTTGGGTAGATCCTACTGCCACCCTACTATCGGGTAGATCCTACTGTCACCCTAGCTATGGGCACATGTCAGAGTCCCATGTAATAAAGGAGACAAAAGGAAACCACCACGAGTATAAACTAAGAAAAGTACTCCAAGGTTTCTAAGAATGGAGCTGTATAACTCACTTTGCCCCGTTTGTTACTTCTCCACGGTACTTACCACCACCTATTACATATATTTTGTTTATAGTCAGTCTTCCCCCATTAGAATGAAAGTTCCGTGAGGATAGGACTATACAGTCAGCCCTCAGTATCCATGGGGGACTGGTTTCAGGATCTCCTGAGGGTAACAAAGGATACTCAAGTCCCTGATATAAAATGACATAGTATTTGCACATCACCTTTGCACATCCTCCCATATACTTCATATCAACTCTAGATCACTCATAATATCCGATGTAAATGTCATGCAAATAGTTATTGTACTATATTGTGTAAGGAATAAGGACAAGAAAAAAGTCTGTACATGTTCAGTACAGACGCAATTTTTTTTTCCAATATTTCCAATCCTTGGTTGCCTTAACGGATGTAGAACCCAGGAATAAGTTCTGGTGTCCTATTGCATAGTAGGATGAGTATAGTTAACAATAACATATTATATATTTGAAAATAGCCAGAAGAGTAGATTTTGAATTTTCTCCCTACAGAAAAATCATTATGCAAATTACCCTGATTTGATCATTACACATTGAGTACATGTATTAAAACATCACATTCTACCCCATATATATGTACAGTTATTATGTGTCCATAAAAATTTAATGTCAATGTGTGAAATAAAATGAAAAAATAAAAATTTTTAAAGCTGTAATTATCTCCATCTGGTAGGAATATATACAATCTGAAATAAAAAATATATTTGTAATTGTTAGGACAAAATAGATTATACGTTAAGTCTGCAAATTATAAATTATAAAATTCTCACAGAACCTGAAAAATTATTGATACTGTTAAATATTTAAAAAGCTGTCCTTGGAGAGAAAGAAACCTATCAGATTTACATCAACAAGTGTAATATGTCAGCCTATTACCATCTGCTACAGACTGCATGTTTGTGTTCCCTCAAAATTCATATGATAGGCCGGGCGCGGTGGCTCATGCCTGTAATCCCAGCACTTTGGGAGGCCGAGGCGGGTGGATCATGAGGTCAGGAGATCGAGATCATCCTGGCTAACATGGTAAAACCCCGTCTCTACTGAAAATACAAAAAATTAGCCGGGCGCAGTGGCGGGCGCCTTAGTCCCAGCTACTGAGGAGGCTGACGCAGGAGAACGGCGTGAACCCAGGAGGCGGAGCTTGTAGAGAGCCGAGATTGTGCCACTGCACTCCAGCCTGGGTGACAGACAGAGCGAGACTCTGTCTCAAAAAAAAAAAAAAAAAAAAAAAAAAAAAAATTCATATGATAAAGCCCTAACCCCCAAGGTGAGGATACTGGGAGGCGTGGCCTTTAGGAGAGAATTAGGTTTAGATGAGGTCATGAGAATAGAGCCCCTATGGTGGCATTACTTCCTTTATAAGAAGAGACACTAGAGCTGCTTTTCTCCCTACCATGTGAGGATACCGAGAGAAGATGGCCATTTCCAATCTAGGAAGCAGGCCCTCTTTAATAAACACAATTTGCCAACACTTTGATCTTGCACTTCCAGTCTCCAGAACTGTGAGAAATATCTGTTTTTTTGTTTGTTTGTTTTTGTTTTTTTTGAGACAGAGTCTCATTCTGTCATCCAGGCTGGAGTACAGTGGTGCGATCATGGCTCACTGCAACCTCCGCCTCCCAGGTTCAAGCAATTCTCCCACCTCAGCCTCCCAAGTAGCTCAGACTACAGGCGTGCACCACCATGCCCAGCTGATTTTCGTAGAGACAAGGTTTTGCCATGCTGCCCAGGCTAGTCTCAAACTCCTGAGCTCAAGTTATCCACCTGCCTCGGCCTCCCAAAGTGTTAGGAATACAGGCATAAGCCACCACGCCTGGTCAAAATATCTACTGTTTAAGCTACCTAATTTATGGTATTCTGTTTTAGCAGCTGAAGCAGACTAAGATACCATCCTATAAGCTACAGACCAGCACTATCCAATAGAACTTTATATGACGAGCAAATGTTTTATATCTGTGCTATCCCTTATGTTAGCCACTAGCCACATGTATCCATCAAGTATTTGAAATATGGCTAGTGCAACTAAAGAACTTAATTTTTAATTTTCTTTTTTTTTTTGAGATGGAGTCTCGCTCTGTCCCCCAGGCTGGAGTGCAGTGGCGCCATCTCGGCTCACTGCAAACTCTGCCTCCCAGGTTCACGCCATTCTCCTGCCTCAGCCTCCTGAGTAGCTGGGACTGCAGGCGCCCGCCACCACGCCCGGCTAATTTTTTGTATTTTTAATAGAGATGGGGGTTCACCGTCTTAGTAAGGATGGTCTCGATCTCCTGACCTAATGATCTGCCCGCCTCGGCCTCCCAAAGTGCTGGGATTACCGGCGTGAGCCACCACGCCCGGCCAATTTTTATTTTATCTTATTTAAATAACCACATGTGGCTAGTGGCTAATGTATTGAACACTACAGCTGTAGACAATACGAAATAAATATAAAGCAGTCTCAACTTTGGAAAAACAGAAGACTCTTACTGCCTCATAATATAGATGAAAAATGAAATACTAAGATAAGTAAAACGTTCTTTAAAGAACAAAAACAAAAGAAAACCTAATGAAAGCTATAAAAGTCCATTGGATAATAATGCTACCAGTACTAAGGAAGTACAGCCCCTAAGAGTGACTTGCAGTCACAAATATAAAAATGACTATTCAACTGAACTCCTAAGGTGAAAATTTCTTATTCACCATGCTCCAAAATGGTCTGTAATATTCTTCAGAGATGGCATGGTAAAGTACGATAAAAGGGTAATAGTAACAGTATGCTGTCACAGGTGCCATTCTCTTAAAAAAGAAATCCAAAAATAAATATAAATGGAAAGCAAATAATTAATGGAGTTTTGACGGTCAATCAATGGTAAATATTATTGGCATTAGATTTTTCTATTAATTATAGTTTACCTATGATCATGTATTTTTCCATTTAAAAATTACCCTAAAACTTAATGGCTTAAAATAACAAATATGTATGACACAATTCATAGAAGTCAGGGAAATGATGGATTTGGGTAGGTGGTTCTGACTCGAAGTCTCTCATGAGTAAAGGTTGCTGTCATGTTGTTGACCCAGGCAGCATCCCCTGAAGCCTTTAACTTGTGTTGGAAGGTCCGTGTCTTAGTTTGTTTGCACTGTCGCTACAGAATACCATAGACAGGGTAGCTTATAAACAACAGAAACGTTTCTAATGGTACCGGAGGCTGGATGGTGCAAAATCAAGGTGCTTGCAGATTTGGTGTCTGGTCAGAGCCCATTTTTTAGTTCATAGATTACTGTCCTCTAGCTCACATGGCAGAAGGGGCAAGGACGCTTTTTGGGGTCTCTTTTATAAGGGCACTAATCCCCGGCTGGGCACGGTGGCTCACATCTGTAATCCCAGTACTTTGGGAGGCTGAGGCAGGCAGATCACGAGGTCAGGAGTTCCAGACCAGCCTGGCCAGTATGGTGAAACCCCGTCTCTACTAAAAATACAAAAATTAGCCAGGTGTGGTGGTGCGTACCTGTAGTCTCAGCTACTCAGCTACTCAGGAGGCTGAGGCAGAAGAAACACTTGAACCCAGGAGGCAGACGTTGCAGTGAGCTGACATGGCACCACTGCACTCCAGCCTGGGTAACAGAGCAAAACTCTGTCTCAAAAATAAATAAATAAATAAATAAAAATAAAAATAAAAACAAAAAATAATAATCAAGGCACTAATCCCCAACATGAAGACAGACTATCATCTACCAAAAGCTCCACCTCCTACTATCATTACACTGGGGGTTAGGATTTCACAAATTCAGTGCATCATAGTCTGCTTCTAGAATGTTTAATCATTTGGCTGGATATCAGATAGGATGCCTTGGTTCTTCATGTGAGCTTTCTAGAAAAGATAGTTTGGAATTATTTGCATGGTGGCTGGGCTCGTAAAGAGTTGAAGGAGAGAAAGAGAGAGAAACACCAGTAAGGAGCAAATTAGTTCACTCAAAATTAAAACCCTAGCCTTTGTGACCTTGTCTCACAAGGTAACATTCCAATCCTGCGGTGTTTTATTTCTTAGATGGGAGTCACTCAGCTTAGCCTGCCTTCAAGGGGAGGAGTATGAAGCTCCACTTCTTAAACTGAGAAGAATCAACAAATATGTAGATATATATATATTTTTAATAGTATTACAGCTCATGAACCCATTTAAACCCATTTTAGAACTTTAAAGAAATATTTTAAAACGGAATTTTCAATTAAGCAGAAGAAATTGCCAGCTGTGGAACAGTGAACTTTATCGCTGAAATCACACACATATATACACACACACAGTGCAAACTCATACATGATCAAATCTATAATCTTATTACACAAAGTTTTGTGAGAGGAAAAATGCTTGACTTTTCAAAAGGGCTCATTTATTAAAAATAAAATGACCATTGTGTTCATTTTAGCTGCAACCTTTAAGCAATCAATGACTATATACTTGCTGTAATCATCCTTTAAAATTAGAATTATTGAAAAGCTTTATCACTGATGAATGAAAGAAAGTAATATTGATTTGTGGCCAAGAGAGATAATCTCAGGCAATAAACAGGTGCAGTCTTTGAAGGAATCATTTTATTTTATTACTTTCTGACATTATTGAAGCCAATTTTAAATAAATTCATCATGTTTTTAAATTTAATCACGTATTATTTTATCATACATTAGGTAAAGTTTCAATCTAAGTAACTCCTGGATAAAAAATGAAGTATATCAATTTACAATTACAAATACCCAAATTGTACAGGCATGCATTTTTCAATGACATTTATAAACTGTGTTTTGTTGTTTGTGCCTTGTGTTTGTTTTATTAATCAAATTAATTTATACAGATATATGTATGGAAATGAGACAGATATAACCAGTTCTCTATAAGTAAGCATTATTTAATGGAGTCTTTCCTTTCACTAATGATCATCAGGACAGCTAGGGAAGTGAGTTGAAATTTTCAGGCCATTAGGTTAATAGTTCTAGTAATTCTAGTAATGTTTCGACAGTCATAATATAAATGATACTATGTGGCTTGAATTAATGCATTTTCTTATGTAACAAATAATAAGACAATTTTTAAAAGTGGTAATTACTATTTTTAAATATGACAATTAAAAATAATGAAAGAAAAGAGGTTGTACATTGAGTAGCCATAACATTATCTTTAAACATATTTATTCTTCATTTCCTAACTTTTCCCACCTTTTGGCTAAATCGTATGTTCTTTCTCTAACCTCACTTCTGTTTTATTACTCTCTGGGAAAGATTTTTATATAAAACGTCTAAGCAATCAAACCTAACACAGGATGAATTTCTACACATTACTATACCCTCTGGTCACTATTTTTTTCTTCTCTTTATTGCCCATTTCCCTGTTCTTGAAACATTCCAATTATTTGCCTTCCATGACATTCTACTCTTACTTTTACTTTTCTGTCTCTGATTACTCATTTCCAGTTCCTTTTGTCATCTCCTTGTCTTCCTACACCTGCCAATTAAATTTGAATTTCCTCTGCATTTCATCTTATGTCTCCTTTTCTTCTGCCAAATTCTCTCCTTAGACAAATACAGTCATTCCCATGGTTTTATATCCCACTTATATTCAGGGGCTCTAGAATGTATAGCGCCAGGCCAAATCTATCTTAAGAACTTACTTTACTTAACCAATTACATCTGCATCTGCTCAGGATCATGTAACCCACATCAGCATTTGGCTCTTTTGTAGACCCATTTTTTCTTTTCCTGGAAGTCTATTTTGACACCTACTTTCTGTCACTACCCACGTTTTAGCATTTAGCCTTGTCAATTTACTCTCATCCATATGTAACTCTATCCATTTTCTTCTCTCTATTATGAACAGCAGTTTGAGCCATCATGACCAATTTTGCAGTATCCCTTCTTAAATTAGCCTCCTGTTTCGCATTGGACATTTTCACCCCCCAGCAATTCCACCGATTTCATTCTCGGAAAAATATAAATGAAGAGTTACATTTTTCAATAGCCATAATCATTAAATTTCCATGTGTAAGAAAATGTTCAGAACAGTATCAGTGCATTTATAATAAAATTTTAAAACTTGACCCACAAATCTCTACTTGTCCTTCTAGTTTTATTTCATTTGTCTCTCGTCAATCTCTACATTCTGATCACCACAATCTTTTAATTCATCTGAAAGCTAAGCTCTCTCTTAATTTACATTCTCTATACTTGCAATTTTGTCTACCTAGAAGTGTCTTCTTCCATCTTTGGATTGTTATTGCAAATCCATTGAATAGTTCTCATCTGAATTGTTTCTTCCTTGGGATGACTTATAAACACTTCATCCTACAGCCAAATCAGAAGACCAATATCAAAATCTTTCATCACATCCTAAATTTGCTTATATGTAATTATATGGCAAGAATCTCTTTGTCTTTATAATCATGATTCACTTATCTATGTTTTTTAAAAACTCTTCTAGGTGGTGATGCTAAGCTCCGTAATGTTGGGCTTGTTACCTGTCTCAACTATCTTCCACACCTACCACAGTACCTGCTACATAGATGTATTCAATATATATTTTTAGAATTAGTAAATGATGAGCAAGCGTGTACTTTTGTTCTCTTTCATTACAGTGTTAGAAATGCTATTACAGCATTAGAAAAGATAATCAGAAAGAAAATTTAATAGATCATCAGAAAAAATCCCAAGACTTTTAGGCAAATGAGCCTACAAACACAGGTGGAATGGACTTGCAATTTACCAAGAAATAGGTTTGTCATACTTAGAAACCAACTGCATAAACATGTTTTTATCTATTAATAACTTCATTTTCCAAAACGCTCTACTTTATATGAGACGATTCTTGATGGAAATACCATTTGCTTCTAGGCTCGTTGCTTAAACATAAAGTTAAAAATCTTTGTATGACACATAAAATTGTGGTGACTGCTTAACTTTGCAACTATAGTGCTCCTGAAATGCTCATTTAACCAGTCTGTGTTCCAGACCTACAGAACTTAGATGGTGCTAAAATTGCGCAAAAATTGTGTATTTCTTCTACAACTAACTTCTGATAAAAAGGGGGCAGAGAAGGTTAACTCTCTCCCCCTTTAGCTTTATTTGCTTAGTGAATTTCTACAAAACATAATTTAAGTGCTATATTTTTCCAAGGTTTTAATAAGGAAATAAAAACCGCAATAGGTATCTTAAGCAGAAAGTGCATTTCATACATATACAATAGGAAGGGCTAAAATAACTAAAGTAGCTGTGGCATGGAGGAAGGTTTTGAGTTCTTGAATTCAAAGGCACGCAATCATTTCTGCAATCCTGGGTCAAAAAGATGCTCCTGCTATTAAAACTTTAAGCCTCTTATGCCCATGAAACTGGGGATTAGGCACAAGGATATTGAATCCTACCACTTCCACTACTTCTGAACTATTGTCCCCATGATTTCACTTGCCAGAATCAACAATAGCAAGACAGGCTTTGATCTCTTCCATTTTTCTAAGTCTGATTCATATGCAAACAATCGGTAAGTGGTCTAAGCTGCATTCATAAAGCTAGCTCAAGGGAAGCTGCATTGCTTGTTTTGTTTTGTTTTAGTTTTCTAACCTCTTCAAAGAGTGGAACGAAAGTTGAGGAAACCTGTCCAACAGTCTACCACACACCTTCCATGAAAGGTTCCCCAACACCTCCAACAAAATAATGTAAACACATGCTGGAACCTGTATTACTCTCGCACCATAACACTTCCCACACTTCCCACGATACTTTTTCTCTTCATGGGAATATCCTTCCAAAACATGCTGATATCTCCTAAGCATTATTCATCTGTCGAATTTTCCCACCTATTGTAAGGTCTTCCAATTGTTAGGTTCTTAATAAATACATTTTAAATTATTAAAATTCTGAACTAATGGGTAATCAACTGTACAACCCGAATTGCTGATTTGCATACAGCTGAAGTCCCTCCTCAAAACTTCTGTAATACATGAAACTTAGGCAAATGGTTGGGTCATTACCATATATTACTTTATATTTTTATTTATCAGTATATGTGATTACAGTTATGCTTATGTTAATTGATATGTATATGTACATTGTATTATTCTGTTACATAGCACAGCATTTTGTACTCAAAAAGTGACCAATAATAATAAGCTACATACTTTGGGAAGCATTGCAGGCTAGTCGTACAGTTTTGTTTTGTTTTTTTCCCTGCAGCCTGACAACCTTTTTAGTCATTCACTAAACCTCTCTCAGCTTCAGTTTCTTCATCTGCAACATATAGCAAATAATAAAACTTAACTCAGATGGTTCTAGTGTGAAATAATACAGAGTAAATGTGCCACCAAATACAAACCAATGGCTTGATTGACATAACTCACTGCTAATTTTCTTGAAATGATTCAAAGTATTTTCCAGACAAGCACACACTGAGGGAATTCGTCACCACCAAACGAGTCCTATGAGAAATACTCAAAGGTGTCCCAAACACAAAAATGAAAGGTCAACATTCATCATCATCATCAAAACACATGAAAGTAGCAAACTCATAGGTCTTGTAAAACAGTCACACAAAGTAGGACGAGCAATCAAATAGCAACACAACAGATTTCCACCAAACCATGAAGACAAAGAGACACACAGAAAGAAAAACAAAAAACAACAACAAAATAACCCCAAGGAACTTATAAAACAAGTAGAAAACAAACAGCAATATGGCAGAAAGAAAACCTCATGTATTAACATTAACCTTGAATGTAAATGAATTAAACATTCCACTTAAAATATATAGATTGATAGATATTGGGCCAGGTGCAGTTGCTCACACCTGTAATCCCAGCACTTTGGGAGGCCGAGGTGGGTGGATCACGAGGTCAGGAGTTCGAGGCCAGGCTGGCCAACATAGTGAAACCCTATCTCCATTAAAAATACAAAAATTAGCCAGGCGTGGTGGCCGGCACCTGTAATCCCATCTACTTGGGAGGCTGAAGCAGGAGAATCGCTTGAACCTGCAAGACGGAGTTTGCAGTGAGCCAAGATTGCGCCACTGCACTCCACTCTGGATGACAGAGTGAAACTCCATCTAAAAGTAAAAAAAAAAAAAAGAAAGGTAGATTGATGGAACGAACTAAAAAATGATCCAAAAATATTATGCTTACAAGAAACATATAGACACATACAGACTGAAAAGTAAAGACACATACAGATTTAAAGTAAATGGGTGAAAAAAGATACTCCATGTAACGGAGACTAAAAGCAAGCAGGAATAGCTATACTTATATCAAGTAAAACAGAACTTAAATCTAAAACAGTATAACAATGACAAAGGAAGTCATTACATAATGATAAAGGGATCAATTCAGCAAGAGGATATAACAATTCTAAACACATATGCATCCAACACTAGACCACCAAGATTCATCAAATAAATATTACTAGACATAAAAAAGGAATAGACAGCAATACGATAATACTGGGGGACTTTACCATCTCACTCACAGCATTAAATGTTATCATCAAGACAGAAAACAAATAAACCTAAGACTTAAATTCAACCTTAGATGAAATAGACCTAACTGACATTTACAGAAAATACTACCCAGCAACTACAGAATATACATTCTTAATAAAACCGCAATTTCACCCAACAATCCCACTACTGGAGATCTACCCAAAGGAGAACAGATAATTGTATGAAAAAGGTATCTGCACCCATATGTTTATCACAGCACTATTCACAATAGCAATGTGTCCCTCAGTGGATGATTACATTAATAAATCTGGCACATATGCGCTATAGAATACTATTCAGCTATACAAAAGAATAAAATCATGTCTTTTGTAACAACATGGATGTAACTGGTCATTATTTTAAGTGAAACAAATCAGACACAGAAAGACAAATACTGCATGTTCTCACTTATAACTGGAAGCTAAATAATGTATACACATGGACATAGAATGTGGAATGATAGACAACAGAGACTTGGAAATTTCAGGAGGGTGGGAGGAGGGGATGATGAGAAATTATGTAATGAGTACAATGTACATTTTTCAGGTGATGTATATTCTAAAACCCTTACTTCAACACTATGTACTTTATGGAGGTAATAAGATTATATTTGTATCCCATAAATTTACATAAATAAAAAATTGCCTTCTGTACTTACTTTAGCCCAGTTATTGTTAGGTTCAACATTCAGCACTTTACTCAAATTTTCTATAGCTTTCTGGACCTTTTTTTGATATTTATATATAGTAGTGTGGCACAGAAGTGCTAATATTTACCAAAATAAAAGTTATATTTTTAATTAAAAATTAATTAAAAGGTTGTAGAATCTCAGGATGGAATGCAGACTGTTACAAATTTATCTAGCTCTATTATGAACCATACAAAATAACTTCAGTGAGGGACTTAAGGGAAAGGGTGCTAGTCAAAGTGATATTGAAAATGAGTGCAGTCTCTTAAGATGAAAGGCAAAAGAAACTTGTACGAAGGCACTTAATTTAGTTGATAAAGATGTTCTTCTACTAAGGGCAGGTTATCAATTCTGGTACAGCTATATACATATACTGGAAGTGAACAATTAACTAAATAGATGTCACAAAGTAAGAGTCAGGATTTTTATTGTTGGAGTGGGGGTTTAGAGATACAGGAAGGCATTGATGCTTGCGGGACTAGGTTAGAGGTAGTGACATCAGTAAGAACCCATGTTTAGCTTAATACAGACATAGATGGTGATATGGTTTACATTTTGTCCCCTCTCAAACCTCTCGTCCAATTGTAATCGCCAGTGTTGAAGGAGGGGTCTAGTGGGAGGGGATTGGATTATGGGGGCAGATTTCCTCCTTGCTGTTCTTGTGATAATGACTTAGTTCTCACACAATCTGGTTGTTTAAAAGTGTGTAGCATCTCCCCCTTAGTTCTCTTCCTCCTTCTCCAGCCATGTAAGATGTGCCTGCTTCCTCTTTGCCTTCTGCTATGACTGTACGTTTTCTGAGGCTTCCCCATCCTTGCTTCCTGTACAGCCTGTGCAACTGTGAGGCAATTAAAGCTCTTTTCTTTATAAATTACCTAGGATCAGGTAGTTCTTTATAACAATGGGATAATGGACTAATATAGATGTTTACATATAGAAATATTTAAAGATATGTGTAAGAATATACACATTGTTTCTTTGCTCTCTCATCTTAGAGAGCTATGAAAAAATTGATACTCCCTTAGCTACAGGCACAGCTAGCACTTAAATATTGATTTCATATATAGAAAGCAGGGCGTCTTTGAAAGTGGCTGATTCTAAGAATGGGGAAGAAAATACACAAGATGAGCCTGGGACATCCTCTAGTGCCAGAAATTATGAAAATACTAACAAAAATCTATTCGTGAGATATGTCAAACAAGCACAGGGGCCAAGTGAAAGGTCTTTCAATTTCTAGAATAATTTTAGCAACACAATACATTAATTGGTAGTATATTTGGATTATACCCAAAAATGTAATTTTCCTTAGTCCATATTGATATCAATAAATGACTGAATAAACAAATGAATGAGATAAAAGAGGTAAATCTCCTCTGCAAATAATTTACATATGTATTCCAACTAAAGGAAGTCAGCTCTTAAAGACATCTTAAGCAATACTGCAACTGAATTAGCTTTCCAAAGATACTGTCACAATTCATCTATTCCAAGACCTATACATTTCATATTTTAATATCTCCTGAAAATATAATGCATTTTACAATTCAGTGGTATGTCTTAGTTTAATTAGCCACAATGCGAATTACTTGCTTAACGGGACATAAAATAGTGCATTATACAATCTATGGGCTCTTGGACTCAAGAAAATACGATAGAAAGGAGTTTATGTTAGAGTCTGCACACTGACTAAAGATCAGAGCAGAAAGCAGATTCTAGGAACAGTCACATTTGTGGCAGTCACTGGTCTCGGCATGCAACAAAATTCAAAGTAAATAGTGGTAAGGTGGGAAATGGACAAAGCTATGTAGCTAGAATCAGAAGTCTTTGAAATCAAAACATCAAGATTCAAACTATTTAGGGGCAGTGGGGCTGACGTGGTGACCGTGGGCCTGATCAGATAAAACCTTTACAAAGAAACAGTAGCTCTCAGACTCACCTCCTGAGACAGAGTTGTTCTGAGGGGAAAATGGGTAAGTTTCCACAGTAACATACAGTACTTAAACATACAGTAAGATACAGTACTTAAAGCCCTGACCTGTCCAGTTCCCAACACATCTTTCTTGATGGGCACCTAAATGTCACCTTTTGGTTTTATTTTTGTGTTTTTCTCATCTAAGCTCGGAGAGCAAAGCCTGACAGGGTGAGCCCCCAAAGTGTGTTCATGTCTTAAGAGTGTCCAGAAGCCACATAGGGAGTGTGCAAGTTTTTCATTTTCATGCCAGGGACAATGTCTCTCTTTATTGAGCTAATGGCAAGGTATGGGCCTCAGAATATGTACAGTTTGAACATATTTGCATCTTCCCTTTAATTAACTGTGAAATCTGTGAGGCTAATGAGAAGAAAATTGATGGGTAGTCGGTGGAAGAATTTTTTTTTCATTGTCATATCTTCAACTTTCCTGGGGTATAATAAGAGATGCACAGTCAATTCAGTATACTTGAAATGTGTGATGTGGTCAAATTTGAGATAGATATATATATATATATATGTATATACTTTTGGAAATATCACTACATTCACAACCATCATTATGAAAAGTTTTCTTGTGCACCTCAGTAATCAGTCTCTCCCTCCATGCTGTCTCCAGGCAGCCATTTGATTTTCCATCAGGTAACATGAGTGAGAAGAAAATGTTTGTTGCAAGCTATTGAAATTTTGTGGTTGTTCACTTTTTAGAAACTCTTTGGAATTTTCTTTCTCATATCTTTATTAACATATAAAGTGTCTGTTTGGCATACTTTCAGATAATGTAAATAATATACTCAGCAATTGTTTTGTGCTGGGCTTCCATTTAATCTTTCAAGATCATATGGATTTTTATAGCTTTATATGTTGTGTTTGGCATCTTAAGCTCACTATCTACCTACTGACTCTTAAATCCCAAACTCTAAAGAGGTTCTGAAGATTCCAAACAATGGCTTGATAGCTTAAAGTAAAAAAAGCTCAGGATAACTCAAATTTTGTGACTTAGCATGCTTGAGAAAGTTTTTTTTTTTTTTTTTGAGACAGAGTCTCACTCAGTCACCCTGGCTGGAGTGCAGTGGCGGGATCTCGGCTTACTGCAAACTCCGCCTCCCGGGTTCACGCCATTCTCCTGCCTCAGCCTCCCGAGTAGATGGGACTAAGGCGCCCGCCACCGTGCCCGGCTAATTTTTTTTTGTATTTTTTAGTAGAGACGGGGTTTCACCGTGTTACCCACGATGGTCTCGATCACCTGACCTCGTGATCTGCCCACCTTGGCCTCCCAAAGTGCTGGGATTACAGGCGTGAGCCACCTCGCCCGGCCTTGAGAAAGTGCATTTAAGCTCCTTCCTAAATGAATGATTATTTAGTCTTGCAGTGTCCATAATTTCTTTAGGTCACTTACGGAAGTCTCAAACTTGTCTGTAACACCTGATAATAACTTCCAGTACTATTCTAAAATGTAGATTTACTTTATCACATTTTCTTCTAACTTCTACTTGCCCCTGTTGTAACAATCTTCACTCTTCTTTTGTACTTATATTTTCTCCTTTTAAAACTCAATATCTAGGTCCTCTCTTATAATTGTGCTTAAAATTCATCCTGCAGTAGTGTCAGAGCAGGGTTTCTCAAAGTCATTGTGGGGAACTATCGTGTACATTGTAAGATGATTAGCAACATCCCTAGCCTCGACCACCAGATGCCAGTAGCACACCCTCTCTTTCACAGTTTTTTTTTTTTTTTAATCAGAAATATCTGCGCACATTGACAAATGTCCACCGGATGGGAAGAAGAATGTGGGGTGTAAAATTCCCATTTTTGAGACCCACTTGCTTAGAATGTATTAAAGACCTATAATTGAAAATACCTTGGCAAAATCTCCCAAAATTGTCTCTCAAAATAACAGTATATACAGTGTAACATACACAACATCCTGTTATACTAATGAAAAAATCTAAGAAAAACTCTATAGGATGATATTTAGATATTACAGTCACTATATTAACTATTAGGATAATGTGCCACTAATTCCCAATCGTCACTGCTTTCATGTAGTGCTTGCTCCATATTGTCTTAATGTTAATCCTTAACATACACAGCCTAACATATTTATTGATGTGAAAGTTTTTGTTTTATTTTCAACAACACGGTCTCAACCAGGGGTGATTTTCACTACCAGGGACAATTTGTCAATGTTTAGAGACAATTTTAGTTTTTACTGCTGTAGGTAGTGGAGTGTGCTATTCACATCCGGTAAGTTTAGGGCAGGAAAACTGGTAAACCTCCTATAACATGAGGCTAGAGCCCACAACAAAATTATCAGGTCCAAAAATGTCAATAGTATTGAAGGTGAGACAATTTCTAGGGAGATATTACACCTTGATATTCTCATTTAATATGCTGGTAATGTAATCCAGCATTTTTCCAAAAATGAGAATAGCCTGGTGGCCTTAAATGTCATTGTTTTACTCTTACTTACATTGGACTAAAGAATGAGATCAAATGCAGCTGAATAATTTGGATATTTAAAGCAATAACATTTTTCACTAACGCGCATAGGCTTAATGCCTGGGTGACAAAATAATCTGTATACCTATTTACCTATAGGTTTACCTATATAACAAACCTGCACATATACCCCTGAACTGAAAATAAAAGTTAATAAATAAAGTAATTACATTTGTTTAGAAATAAAATAAATTTAGAAATGGAAAATATTGTTGAAAATATTCTAAGAATTTTAAATTTATACATCAAAATAAAAATAATCTGAATATTATTACTAACAGAAAATCTTTGTCTTGATCTCAAATTCCAAGTAGAATACCTTTAGACTATCTCTAGCAATAGCTAACAGAATAAGATTTACAAATCTTGATAGATCATTTTTCATGCCTGTGTCATTTTAAAATGAATTGATGGCTGTTAAAACTTAATTTAGTTTGAGTCTCTTCCGGATCATATACATAGTTTTACAGACAGCCATGTTCAATGAAATTATAATATGTAACACAAGAAATATGCCAGATGTAAAGTAAGAATCTCTTTTAAACGCTCTGATATTCAAAACTCTTTATCAGATTTCCTAAACTAACGATTTTAAACAAAACCTGTTAGTTAAGAAAGCATTGGTCTCAATAGTAAATCTGCCAATATGAATTGCTGCATTTTATTTTTGAACTTTCTAAAGGCCATCTGCCAGAGTAATTAGATATAAAATCCTGCATGCAATCTAATATTAGATGAAAAGTTTAAACTACCAATGATACAATATTGATGCACAGAGGAATGAATTGATTTTTTATGTTATTCTCAAATTGAAAGTCAATCTTTTTATAAAATAAATTTATAAATAAATCCAAATATGATATTTTAGCTCACTTTTGACAGTAGGTTTTCAGTTTCTGATGTTAACAATGGCATAATTATGATTTGCTGAATGACTTTAAAGTGATCGGATAAGGAAACAATTAGGGTTTGCAGTAGCTGGAGAAAGAAAAAAAAGAAATATTTAGATATTGCATACTCAATATGGCACATACTACGTCATAGGCTTTAATATCAGTTGACTACTCTCTTTAGAAGGAGTACGGTTTGACCTAGACCAGTTTATTTATTCATTTTTGTAATAATTTTTCCTCATTCTCTTTGACACATTGGTTAACCTAAAATTACTGTGTTGCTTAGGACATTGACTAAAAATCGTAGTCTTTCAGTTTGTGGCTGCTCACAGGATTTTTTTTTTTTTTTTTTGCTTTGGCTTACTAAATAATCTTTTATTGGAGTTAAAACAACAAAGCTAGTAAAGATATATAAATCAATGCCAAAAAAAAGGAGACAGGCCTACTTATATGCCATTATCTTCTGTTATTGCCGTTGGATAGAAGACAGACATTATCATTTTTAATCAATTGTATACTTCATAAATATGATACAACAGATATTTTTACTTCCAAGATTATACATAGAGTTTTTATGATTCCTTTGTGAGTGTGAACTATATAGCTGTCCCTAAAACATAATTGAGAACAGAAAGGTTTTATTTTTAATTATATAATTTTCTTGCCCAAGTTATATGGATTCATAGGTTACAGAATGTATAACAATATACATTTTTTGCATTTTTAAATTTACTGTATAATTTATTTCTAAAACCAAATTTGATATACAACTATGTAAACCATTAAATATGATTTGGATTAAAATAATCTTAACAGACAAATCCAAAAACACTGCATTTTATTATTTCTATTTCTAATGTTACCTCCAGGTTTAGACTCCCCTAAGTAATTGACTCTACCTATTATGTTTGTGTTTTGAAACATCACTCTATATTGTAACAAAAAGAAAAATGACACAATTAGTTTCATATATGTACACAAAAATTTTCAGTTTTAAATAAGGAAATATAGTTTTGAAATTTAAAAAAGTAAATGTTATAATATTTTCTCAAATAATTTACTACTCATATTCCCATTGCTTAGTTTCATTAATTTTTACACTCACATTTTACATATCCAAGATATATTTCCAGCTTTATTTTCAGAATGAACTGCTAGGATCTTAGATGAGTTTATTATTTTGCACGAGGTGCCACTGCTTGACACCTGATTGTGTGTATACCCCCCTTTTTTTTTAATATACTTTTAAGTTTTAGGGTACATGTGCACAATGTGCAGGTTAGTTACATATGTATACATGTGCCATGCTGGTGTGCTGCACCCACTAACTCGTCATCTAGCATTAGGTATATCTCCGAGTGCTATCCCTCCCCCCTCCCCCCACCCCATAACAGTCCCCAGAGTGTGATGTTCCCCTTCCTGTGTCCATGTGTTCTCATTGTTCAATTCCCACCTATGAGTGAGAACATCCGGTGTTTGGTTTTTTGTCCTTGCGATAGTTTACTGAGAATGATGATTTCCAATTTCATCCATGTCCCTACAAAGGACATGAACTCATCATTTTTTATGGCTGCATAGTATTGCATGGTGTATATGTGCCACATTTTCTTAATCCAGTCTATCACTGTTGGACATTTGGATTGGTTCCAAGTCTTTGCTGCCCAAGGTAATTTATAGATCCAATGCCATCCCCATCAAGCTACCAATGACTTTCTTCACAGAATTGGAAATAACTACTTTAAAGTTCGTATGGAACCAAAAAAGAGCCCGCGTTGCCAAGTCAATCCTAAGCCAAAAGAACAAAGCTGGAGGCATCACGCTACCTGACTTCAAACTATACTACAAGGCTACAGTAACCAAAACAGCACGGTACTGGTACCAAAACAGAGATATAGATCAATGGGACAGAACAGAGCCCTCAGAAATAACGCCGCATATCTACAACTATCTCATCTTTGACAAACCTGAGAAAAATAAGCAATGGGGAAAGGATTCCCTATTTAATAAATGGTGCTGGGAAAACTGGCTAGCCATATGGAGAAAGCTGAAACTGGATCCCTTCCTTACACCTTATACAAAAATTAATTCAAGATGGATTAAAGACTTAAACGTTAGACCTAAAACCATAAAAACCCTAGAAGAAAACCTAGGCATTACCATTCAGGACACAGGCGTGGGCAAGGACTTCATGTCTAAAACACCAAAAGCAATGGCAACAAAAGCCAAAATTGACAAATGGGATCTAATTAAACTAAAGAGCTTCTGCACAGCAAAAGAAACTACCATCACAGTGAACAGGCAACCTACAGAATGGGAGAAAATTTTCGCAACCTACTCATCTGACAAAGGGCTAATATCCAGAATCTACAATGAACTCAAACAAATTTACAAGAAAAAAACAAACAACCCCATCAAAAAGTGGGCGAAGGACATGAACAGACACTTCGCAAAAGAAGACATTTATGCAGCCAAAAAACACATGAAAAAATGCTCACCATCACTGGCCATCAGAGAAATGCAAATCAAAACCACGATGAGATACCATCTCACACCAGTTAGAATGGCAATCATTAAAAAGCCAGGAAACAACAGGTGCTGGAGAGGATGTGGAGAAATAGGAACACTTTTATACTGTTGGTGGGACGGTAAACTAGTTCAACCATTGTCGAAGTCAGTGTGGCGATTCCTCAGGGATCTAGAACTAGAAATACCATTTGACCCAGCCATCCCATTACTGGGTATATACCCAAAGGATTATAAATCATGCTGCTATAAAGACACATGCACACGTATGTTTATTGCGGCACTATTCACAATACCCCATTCTTTAGACTTTTAAAATCAATACCCACTCTTCCCCACGAACAAGAGAAAGTAAAAACAACTAACAGTGGATTTCTATATCACAATGACTCATTTTCAATAGAACACTACCATAGGTCAAATGGATGAATGCATAAATAATGAATGGATTAATATCTTTTATATAATCATGTGCCACATAACAACGTTTACATCAATAAGAGACAGCATGTAAAACAATGGCTCATTAAGATTATAATAGGGTTGAAAAATTGCTATCACCATTATAGATTGATCACTCTATGAAGTTTGCACAGTAAGATAATCACCTAGCCACACACTTCTCAGAACATATCCTCATTGCTAAGTGACACAAGGCTATATTTCATTTAATGATTGCGTAAATAGTTGTTGAGAAAAATCTGCACTCTAAGTACCAGGATAAAAGAGATTAATAATAAATTAATGATTAAATGCACCATGATCAATCTTATCATTGAGGTCTATATGCTACATTTGGATTACATCGTAAAGGCAGAGGTTAATCATCGCAACTTACACAACAGGATACAGAGTGGATCAGCAGATAATTACATAATAGAATACAGTTTGAAACCTGCAAGATGCATTAGAATTAATTAGAATCAAACCATATGTGTGACTTTGGTTTAAATGTGCAAAACCTATTAATATAGATATAGCCAGGACATTTCTATTGTGTGTGTGTATATATATATATAGTGTGTATATATATATATATACACACACATATACATTTATATATACATACATACATATATATAATATATAATATATATATATATATATATATATATATATATATATATATATATTTTTTTTTTTTTTTTTTTTTTTTTTTTTTTTTTTGTGATGGAGTTTCGCTCTTGCTGCCCAGGCTGGAGTGCAATGGCATGGTTTCAGCTCACTGCAACCTCCGCTTCCAAGGTTCAAGCAATTCTCCTGCCTCAGCCTCCCAAGTGGCTGGAATTACAGGGGCCAACCACCACACCAGGCATATCTTTGTATTTTTAGTAGAAACTGCTTTCACCATGTTGGCCAGGCTGGTCTCGAACTCCTGACCTCAAGTGATCTACCCCCTCGGCCTCCCAAAGTGCTGGGATTACAGGTGTGAGTCACTGTACCCAGTTTGTCTTTATAAATCTTATAGAAATATTTAACTTTTAAAATCAACCACACACAATTAAGACTTTGATAAAAGTAATTAAGAAGTAAAGCAATGGAAAAAGCAATTTTTAAAAACATATATGAATGATTGAAAGCCAGGAGTAAAATTAAGAATTGTATTAAAATATCACTATTAAAATTAGCTACATAAATATTTAATTAATGCAGCTAAATTGTTAACAAAATTTACAGAAGAAAAGTATGTTAACATTACTGAATCATCTTAAAATCTTATTAAAATTTAAAGTTCTTCTCAACTGAAATTATATCACAGAAAAAAATAATGTCACCTTAAAAAGTTTAGGATTAGAAATACATAATTATTTTTAAATATAGTCTTTATATATTAATTATATTTCATTAATGTCTTATTTCTTGAATAAACTTTTTTCATGATACTATTTAAGTGCCACATTCTACAATAATATGGAAAACAATTCTACAAAATGTGGCATACAGTAATTGATAGGTAGTATAGCACACCTTTTATCTTTATAGCAAAAACATAATGTGTAAATTAATATAACACTAAGTCCCATATTGTCATTTTTTGTCAAAGAGCTATCTCCTTGAAAACCATCATCCTCAGATGCATCTCTAACTTCAAAAAGACCTTAGAAACTGTAACAATTGTAAATGCGTTATAACTTAAAGAGATATTATCTTCACATTAGAGGCTAACAGGCTTATACCTACTGATAGCTGACAAGTATTATAGGAATCCTGGCAGGCAAATTGTTGCATAAAAATTATGTAATTTACTAACTGTAAAATAACCTTTAGAGTTTAGAATCAGTCAGATAAGTAGAACAGACAATTGTTATCAAAGCCATATAAATGGCTATTAAAATTATTTTTTGCTACCCTCATTTTATCTCTGAAGAGACATCTTGTTAAAAAATGAATAACAGACACATATAAATACCTAATTACAAGCAGAGTTAAGATTAAAATTCAGCCTCATTAGGGGTGGGACAGAAATCAGTACACTAAAGAATATTTTGGTGCAGGTAGTTTGTTTCAAATGATTCAACCTTCAACATTACTTCACTTAAATTTTAGCAAACTTTCTGCTATAATTTAAGCATACAGACCTATGACACTAGACATATGTCCTGTGTAAGCCTGGGCTAGGGGAGCTCTATTTAATACTTACATAAACCCCAAAGATGTCCTAAGAAATAAAATTTGGAAAAACTTTGATGTGCTACAGCACGGATTTTCTCCTACAGCAACAGAGCAGACACTTGAATGTAGTTATACTCCTGCTTTCCACCTCCCTGTCAAAACAATAAAAAAGGCCACAGGCCTGTGGTTCTGGCCTCCAGGGAACTGGTGGCTTCTTTAACCCACACTGCTGCTGCTGAATCCCATTTAGGTTTAGGGTTTATTTTGTATATGCCTTTGTACAGGCTAAATGCTGGTCTAGTTGAAAATCAACCTAAAACAACCTTAATAGCATCTCATTTTATTGTGACTTTACTTTTTGTGTTGTTTGGTGTTTTACTTTTGGAGACAGAGTCTTAATCTGTCACCAAGGCTGGAGTGCAGTGGCATGATTATGGCTCAACCTCCAGGCTCAAGTGACCCTCCCACTTCAGCCACCTGAGTAGCTGATACCACAGGAACATGCCACCACATAAGGCTAACTTAAAGAACATTTTTTTAGATGGGATCTCACTATGTTGCCCAGGCTGATCTTGAGCTCTTTGCCCCAAGCAATCCTCCCACCTTGGCCTCCCAAAGTGCAGGGATTATAGGTGTGAGCCACTATGCCAGGCCTCTCTCATGACTTTAAACTTGAACATGCTTTTGTGCTGTGGCCGAGTTTAGGATCCCAACCAGCCTGTGATTACTGTGGTCACCACACAGATTCCCTCTTGTTCCATCTTTTATATTCCATCTTCTCACTCTCATAACTGTGTGGATAGGAAAACAATTATCCATACAGGTATGATATTGGCAGAGAAAATCACAAAATGTTTTAATGAGCAAACACTTTGGGGATGGTAATAATCTTTCTACCACCTTCATTGTCTTGTTTAAGTATCTCTACATTCTTCTTTAAAAATTAGGAATATATCTTTCTTGCTCTTTCGTTGTTGTTGAACACCAGAAGGGGATATTCCTTAATTCTCTCTCCATAGCTAAGGACAGTACAGCACAATATTCCATTCAGCAGGTGAAGTCAGTATGAATGAATGCATTTCAATCAGCAAATTGCTGGTTGTGTTGCAACTCCTAGTTATGATGTTTTGTGTACTTTGAAGGGCTCCCATTAATTAAGGTATTTCTTATAAGCATTCAGAAAGTCTCTTTTCTTGGCATGCGACTTGAAAATTTGTCCTGATATTTTCCCTGTGACAATGTTTTGTGAATTGTAACTCAGCCACTTAAGTGGCTCCTCATAATAAAGCCACATGGTATCCATGTACACATATTTAACAAATCAAAGAAGTGGTTCTCAACCTAATCTCTAGAGGAGGTCCTTCTTGTTCACTTTCAATAACTATGTTGAAGAATAGATTCTAAAAAGCTATCACCAAATTTTCGAATATGTTTTGAAATTTGTGTCCACAAAATCTATAAATCAATAAATTTATAGAATAGAGCATAATAATCCAATTAACAAATTTAAGATGTCATCTAAGCAGGAATGAATGCAATAAATAGGCCTTCTTACTTCAAAATCAACTGCAGAGGTAATGCATTGCCACTAGACTTGTGTGCTGTGTTGGTAATAAATTAACAAAAACTTTGGGGATAAGAAAAATCTGCAAATAAAATGGTGTGTCATTTGTGAAATATAATCACAAAAATGTTCAGATTGTTATAATTAACAGAAAAACTATTGTTTTTATTATATCCAGTGTTTAACAGACACTATTCATGTATACATACAACATTCTTATAATAACTCTTGTGTCCATGTAAATAGCAGTCTTGCCAAAAAGAATTGATTATCATGTAGTAGTTTGTAAGTATTTTCATGCATAGGCTGCAACCCTTTAGAGTGCTATTCTAATAAATTATTAATATTAACTTGATGAACACAATTCTAAGACATTTCATTTGAGGATATGTTTATTAACTATTAGGTTGGTACAAAAGGCATTGCGTTTTTTGCCATTACTTTCAATAAAAAATAGAACCAGCATTTAGAAATCTACTTTCAGAAACTTAATAAAATGAGAATTTGTCCTCTTTTACATATAGGAAGCCTGCATAATAAGCATTCTGTTGCTAGTACATAAGCTTCCCATTTTCATCAGGAAACTATACACTTACATTTCACTTTTACTAACTTCAATGCATGACTTCTACCTTCAAGGTGATTTCATGCTTCTAGCCACCATGTCTGTACTCCAGGACAGCAGCACAAAGTGTAGAAAAATAAAAAAGACATACCTCCCTAATGAGTCAACTGCACTTAAGGAGCCATCCCAGAAGTTTCACACGGCTTATTTGAATACAGCTATATCCAGATGCAAGGAATGCTGGGAAATGTGGTATTGTGCGCAGCTAAAGTTGGGATTATGTTAGTGAAAATGAGACCACGAACATTGGAAGGTTAAAAGCAATCTCTCATGACATATACAATTACAGAAATTAAATTAAATCTTTAAGCAATGTGATAAACCTATGGAATGTTAACAGGCAAAAATAGCAACATTAAAAATTACAGTGAGGGAATAAGGTATGATTCGTTTGTAGATGGTTTGTGTGTCATTAATCTAGGCAAAAAGTCATAAACTCCTCTAACAGTGACCACATGTATAAAAGAAATAATAATACACACTATGGCTAACAACATTCCATTTTGGCCTATTTACTGTTGTTAAGTCTCTATGGTTAGCATCAGAAATGTACAGTTTTGATAGCCTATGACCTCAACATGTTCAGTTTGATAGTAGAAAGGACAACATAAAGACAAACCAATCAACAAATAAGAATAAAAACTGTTAAAAAAAGGACAATATTATCATAAGAACATAAGGATGTGATAATGTATTTGACATATCGTTTATTTATTGTTTTATAGTTGGATAATACATATAAATTTACTGCTCCTTCAATGTTAGAATCAATAGAATCATAGCAGAAGTAATTAAGCAGATAAAGATCAAAACGTCACCTTTATTACTTACTGTTTGAAAAATAGTCTAAGGCTGGTTTTACAGGGTTGCTCCTATCCATCACCTGATGTGAAGTTTCTTAGGAAGCTTCAGGACTACACCAAAGAAGCAGAACCTGCTCTTTCACTCTGTTGCATTGTGTGGAGTGCAGGCCATCATGACTGCTCTCTACAAGAAAAAGAAAGGAAATAATTAAGAAACGCACAAAAGTTTGTGAATTGAGAATCCCAAAATAGGTATGAAATTGGTTAGCTTTCTAAATTCACCAATCTCATAACTAACACCTGTCCCCATGCAGTGAATGAGTAAAGGATGGACAGACTCCATAATGATTATTCTAGGGAAAGCCTTCTGAGTAGAAAGAGGAGAGTTTTGCAAACAGTTTTGTAGAGTTTACTCTTGTTTATGCACTGATAATAAATAAGAGTTCCTAAAATTCTCTCTAGAACTCTAGGTAAATGAGATATTTCACTGCTCATGCTGTGTGACCTTCATGTCCCATCTGCCTAGACTGTAAATATGCTTTCTGAAGTTTAAAAGAATTAGTATACTATGCTTACATTAAGCAAAAAAGTACCCTTATTATGCAGGATCAAGTAACACTCTAAAGATTCATGTTTATGAAAAAACACTGATGATTCTATTTTATTATGTGTCTTCTAAAGAGAAAAATACTTGTGCTCTGCAGCATAATTTTACAATGTGCTATTCTAAATACTTTCATTTAAACAAGACCATTATGAAAATGTTTTGCACACAGAAATATATTTTGAATACTTTTTTAAAAAGATCACAAAGTATATGGTCTCTGTACGTGTTCAATTATTTTAATGCTTTCACTATAACAGGAATTCTTAAAGAGGATATGTACTTGCATAATGCTGATAATTCTTTCTCATTTCTGTTTGTGCTTTGGCTGTTGTTACAACCACTGAAAGTAGTAATTACATGAGTGTATTATCCATGATTATCTTTAGATATATGTGCATTTTCTTTAATTAAACTATAAACTCTAAATGAAAAATAAAAAAGAAGTCACCTCTTGTCTCTTTGTACAATATTAAAATTTTTTTCTTGTATCCAGAGTTTCCCAAATGCCTGTTGCAAAATTTTACTTAGGGAGTAGAAAGTGGAGAATCAATATGGTAAAAAAAACTGTGTTACAGGGAAGGAGACACAGGGTAAGCATTTTCCTTATCTTCTCTCCTGTATCTACGTGCTGCACAAGCATAAATGATAGCAGTCACATGAACGAGTACTTTTCAAGAACGTAGAATATGGTGATGGAAAAAAAAAACCGCTTTGAAACATCGAATAATATAAAAGCCAGAACTACTACAACTATTTTTTACATCCATAGAAGGTAAACTATTTTTAGATATAAAATTCCTTCTGACGGTAGTCCTGATCATTTAACCAATATTTTGATAAATCAAAGAAGGGAAAAATGGACATTCAGTCCAAAGATGGGCATGTATTCCCATGCCCAGTCAGGCAAAATTGTGGATGTTCTTTAAAATAACAATTCATTCAACAAATAATTTTTAAATGGCTACTGAATACCTGGAAAGGTTCTAGACACAGGGGCTATAGTAAGAAACAAGAAGGAACTAATTGACAAGAATGTGCTCACCGACAATGAAACATCTCCTCATGGAGCTTGAGTTCTGTTTGAAAAGACAGAGAACAAAAAAATATTATTGCACAGAGTGTTAGTTATGTGTGAATTAAAAGACTGGTCAGTACTTGAAGGAGAAGGAGTGACAACAAATCTCACTTCCAGTTCTATTTACCTGAACAGATTAATTCTATTTTGTTTCAATGCAACAGTAGTCCTACGGTTAACAAGATGCACTACACAAAGCAAACAACTTATAAAACGCATTTTTTCCTTATATTGCAAATCAATTTTAAGTGGATCTACAAATATACAATAAATAATATAAATTACGGATCGTTTGTTTCTAAGGTAATAAGTACATTTGTTAATTTCACATAAATAATTTCAGAAGGAGAGCAAATGTAAAAATGTGTTTTAGACAGTGGAGATGCCATTTTATTGTAAGACTATTTATACTCAAAGGACAAAGTAATCAGCTTTCTATGTCAATGATCGTCCTTCTCTATTTCACCCAGTTCCAGACAAACCCAAGTCTTCCAAGTCTCTTCATATATCTGATCCAATAAAATCTATAATGAGTTCAGTTAGCATACACACACACACACACACACCACACACACACAAGCACACAAACACACACACATGACTGCATTGAAATACTTGCTCTAGGGAAGGAACATAGTGTATATGCAACTTGTGTACTTTCTAAGTATGGGAAGACTAATCCTTTAACAACTGCATTTACTTTCTTTCACTTCTATCGTTGCTATCTACTCCTCAGAAATCTACTTAAACAACCAATAAATATATATGATGTTGTTATGAGAGTTTTGGAAATAATTCCTAAAAATTTGCATGGTTGCCTCTTTATATTTGGCAGCTTCTATCACCCATGGGAACAACCCCTACAGAATGATCAGAATATAAAGCATGTGAGCCCTGGGTTTCTCAGGCACTGGAAGGACCTGTCAGAATCCTCTCAGGTGGGTCAAAATGGCCAGGCTTTATAACCTCATCTCCATTCGTGTTTGCATGTCCAGTGCTCCAGGATGCCCTAACATTGAGCCAGACAATGGTTACAGCTGAGGCAAACTTTGAAGGAGCTGAGAGCTGAAGGCTGCTTTGTAATATTGCTCCTAGCAGCCAAGGGGGAAAGAAATCTTTTCTTGAAGAGCGATCTGTGTCCATAGCAAAATGTTTTTTTCTTAGCTCTTGTAAAATCGAAATTGTTTGCTTTTGAATTTTTTTAAATGATTCCTTTAAGATTCTTAATACCAAGATATCACAAGGTCAAGGAATTTTATAAAGAAGTATTTCTATTTATGTAATTTCCTAAATTTATCTATACACAAATCAGCACTAAAACATGCCTTTGATACTAACAACTTGATCCGTTTGTGAACCAAATCTGTCATGCAAATACATACGGCTGTTTTTAGATAAATTCTAAAGGTATTACCAAATCATTTAATTTTATTGTGTATCTCAATATTCTGGTTGATGTATAAGTTTAAATAGAACAAACTATTTGACATTGAAATGTTCTTTATCAAAGGAGAAGGAATACAATTTTAAAGCCACAACGAGTGACACATAGTTCTGAATGATTTATTGGCTGTCTGCCATTCTGAAATGGCTGCCAGTCAATGTTACATGTGACATCTTTCAGATAGTGTGAACTCTTTTATGCAAGCACCTTTCACTATAAAATTACAGCTGGAGATCATGAAGAGAAAAGTGTGGTGTTTATCTTAATGGGCTGAAAGACCTATTTCAACAGTTACAGTAATTCAGAAAAATAGTCTGAAGTCTAGTATTTCAATAATGTTATTTTCATAGATTTTAATCTCTAAAGACAATGCTTCACTTTTGTAGAAAATGACTTTTCTAATCATCCTGGATTTCAAAATTCTTTCCATTACTTAATATTTAAATCACTGGCAGAACTTGGCATGAGGACTAGAGAGCTGTCACCAAGCAGCCAGTCATTTTTCTTGGCTTCCCATATGCCATGCCCAGCAATAGAGCATTTCTTAGTAGCTGAGGAATAGCAGCAGTGCTAAACACAGAGATGACATTAACAGGAATGAGAGGGTCCAAGCTGTTTTCCTAGACTAATTCTCATTCAGCCTGAATTCAAAGCATTTTCCTATCATTATCATAGATATTTCGCTTGTGGTATTATCTATCTTTTGGCAATGTTGATTTTTTTCTGATTATCCAAATAAGTAATGTTAATGGAAAAAATCAGATATTAGGGGAAAAAAAACTCTAGAAATAAATGTTAACCCAAGACAATAACAATTCAATTAATTTATATGATACCTTAGGGATTGTGTCAATTATTTTTTAAATGAAACTCAAAAAATTCAACACCTGTGTTTTCTCCTACGATTACAAATTCAACTAGGGCACAATTGTAAATGGTTGTATTTGGTTGAATTTTTAGATTGTTTGTAAGTTTTACTCTTGCAGACAATAATAATGGAGTTTCTTTGAAAATAAATTTAGTTGTTCTATAACCAAGGCATAAATATTCAATTCAATAAAATTAGCAAAAATATTAAATGAAAAGTATATTATATATAAAATGCATAAATAAAATATCCTGCACTGATCATTTTATGTCTATGGTTACCCTATTGATTCTGTGCACATTTGCATATGGGTATATATGCAATTTTATACAATGAAGTATTAATAGTGTACATAAATTTAGTAATTATTTTACCCCTTAAAAGTATATGCAATGAGTGTCACTTATATATAAATTCTGTTAACGTGGAAGAAGAATGTTAGTCAAAAAAACTACGAATTTAACAATTTTCTGGTTAATTCAAAGGGCTTTCCAAAAATGTCTTTTAAAATTCAATTTCATTTATTTTCTCATAGCAGAATATGAGAATGAATCTTTTTTGCTGCAAATTGGCTAGCAATAAATTTTTATTTTTATTATTTTAATTCTGTGAATTTCGGGAATGGAGTCTCATTCAGTATAAATATTATAATACTAATGAGATTGACTCCCTCCTTCTTATTAACAGTGTGCATTTTTACCCTCCGTGATTCAGTGCATGGTGTAGTGCTATAATTAAAAATGAACATTTTTTTTTAAATTTTATTATTATTATATTTCAAGTTTTAGGGTACATGTGCACAATGTGCAGGTTAGTTACATATGTATACATGTGCCATGCTGGTGTGCTGCACCCATTAACTCGTCATTTAGCATTAGATATATCTCCTAATGCTTTCCCTCCCCCCTTCCCCCACCCCACAACAGTCCCCAGCGTGTGGTGTTCCCCTTCCTGTGTCCATGTGTTCTCATTGTTCAATTCCCACCTATGAGTGAGAACATGCGGTCTTAGGGTTTTTGTCCTTGTGATAGTTTACTGAGAATGATGATTTCCAATTTCATCCATGTCCCTACAAAGGACATGAACTCATCATTTTTTATGGCTGCACAGTATTCCATGGTGTATATGTGCCACATTTTCTTAATCCAGTCTATCACTGTTGGACATTTGGGTTGGTTCCAAGTCTTTGCTATTGTGAATAGTGCCGCAATAAACATACGTGTGCATGTGTCTTTATAGCAGCATGATTTATAGTCCTTTGGGTATATACCCAGTAATGGGATGGCTGGGTCAAATGGTATTTCTAGTTCTAGATCCCTGAGGAATCGCCACACTGACTTCCACAATGGTTGAACTCGTTTACAGTCCCACCAACAGTGGAAAAGTGTTCCTATTTCTCCACATCTTCTGCAGCACCTGTTGTTTCCTGACGTTTTAATGATTGCCATTCTAACTGGTGTGAGATGGTATCTCACTGTGGTTTTGATTTGTCCTCTCTCACCACTCCTATTCAACATAGTGTTGGAAGTTCTGGCCAGGGCAATTAGGCAGGAGAAGGAAAGAAAGGGTATTCAATTAGGAAAAGAGGAAGTCAAATTGTCCCTGCTTGCAGATGACACGATTGTATATCTAGAAAACCCCATTGTCTCAGCCCAAAATCTCCTTAAGCTGATGAGCAACTTCAGCAAAGTCTCAGGTTACAAAATCAATGTACAAAAATCACACGCATTTGTATACACCAATAACAGACAGTCAGAGAGCCAAATCATGAGTGAACTCCCATTCACAATTGCTTCAAAGAGAATAAAATACCTAGGAATCCAACTTACAAGGGATGGGAAGGACCTCTTCAAGAAGAACTACAAACCACTGCTCAATGAAATAAAAGAGGATACAAAGAAATAGAAGAACATTCCATGCTCATGGGTAGGAAGAATCAATATCGTGAAAATGGCCATACTGCCCAAGGTAATTTATAGATTCAATGCCATCCCCATCAAGCTACCAATGACTTTCTTCACAGAATTGGAAATAACTACTTTAAAGTTCGTATGGAACCAAAAAAGAGCCCGCGTTGCCAAGTCAATCCTAAGCCAAAAGAACAAAGCTGGAGGCATCACGCTACCTGACTTCAAACTATACTACAAGGCTACAGTAACCAAAACAGCACGGTACTGGTACCAAAACAGAGATATAGATCAATGGAACAGAACAGAGCCCTCAGAAATAACGCCGCATATCTACAACTATCTCATCTTTGACAAACCTGAGAAAAATAAGCAATGGGGAAAGGATTCCCTATTTAATAAATGGTGCTGGGAAAACTGGCTAGCCATATGGAGAAAGCTGAAACTGGATCCCTTCCTTACACCTTATACAAAAATTAATTCAAGATGGATTAAAGACTTAAACGTTAGACCTAAAACCATAAAAACCCTAGAAGAAAACCTACGCATTACCATTCAGGACACAGGCGTGGGCAAGGACTTCATGTCTAAAACACCAAAAGCAATGGCAACAAAAGCCAAAATTGACAAATGGGATCTAATTAAACTAAAGAGCTTCTGCACAGCAAAAGAAACTACCATCACAGTGAACAGGCAGCCTACAGAATGGGAGAAAATTTTCACAATCTACTCATCTGACAAAGGGCTAATATCCAGAATCTACAATGAACTCAAACAAATTTACAAGAAAAAAACAAACAACCCCATCAAAAAGTGGGCGAAGGACATGAACAGACACTTCTCAAAAGAAGATATTTATGCAGCCAAAAAACACATGAAGAAATGCTCACCATCACTGGCCATCAGAGAAAAATGAACATTTCAAAGATGTGCTTCCAAATGCCAAATCATCACTAAAAAGCTCTGTGGCATAGAGGAAATTTCACAACCTTTTAGTGCCTCAATTTTGTGGAAGAATGGTTAGGAGGCTATTGCAATAACAAAAGAAAATTTGAATAGCTGTATCCAACATGAAAAGATTGCTAGTAGAATTAAATGAGTTACTATAGGTAAAACAATCAGGGAAGTAATTAAAGAGAATCTGCACTAACATTGTTTTATTAATTTAAAATATCTGTACACAATCCTTTGACTCATTTGGAATTAGTTTTAGTGTATTTTAGAAAATAAGGTTTATTTTTTATTTTCTCCCAAAACAATTCTTCAAGACAACTTTTCGAACAGTAAATTCCTTCTTTGTTTATAATATGTATTTTAATAAAGTCACTTATCTTCATGATTTCTAGGACATCGGTTCTATCTAATCTATTGTTCAGCATTCGTCTGAGTATTTTCTGAGCAGCAATTAACCCCTCTGTACCTCTGAGTGCCCACATTTCCTTGATCCATTTCACCTTGCTGATCAATCCTTCTTTACTCATAGTCTAAATTTTTTTTTTAGAACTTCTGAGAGTGCCCCAAACCTTGGTCTTGGGTCTTCCTTCAATCTTATTTGTCTTTCCACCTGATCTTAATTATTTACATCACATTATACCCTATCTTTATGGTGACAAATCTCAAAATTATCTCTCTGACCTAAACTTATCATTAAAGATTTGGTTGCAACTTATTAAGAAGTCAGGTTCAATGTAATACATGCACTGTTGATTTAATAAGCTCATCAAAATACTTAAAATTTTATTTGAATGCAAAAAAATAAAGCTTTTAATTTTATCTCCTATTTAATAATTTTGACAAAAACATTATACCAATCATTACTAATTATTGCTGGCTTTTAAAATATTATCTGATTAAATATTTTTGACTTGGAAAAATGGTAACAAATGCTTCTCTCTTTCTTGTCCCCTTGAACCATACTTGATATTGCTTTTTCCAAATCCGGGCCACAAGTTCAGAATATAACCTGTTAAAATATCTTCTGTGTATAAACTATCTTTAAATTTTCTTGAGAGAATACTGAGTAACCAAAAGCATTGCTCCTTCACCCTACAAAAGAGAGAAAAATTAAAAAATCACATTAATTTGTAATTTTAAATGGTAATTAAAGCTATTGTGAGGGCTCTTTTATCGGCCAAACTTGTGAACAAAAAACAGCTCAAATTTATGTGTAAATAAAATATATTGAGATGAAGCCTTTCATTCAATGTGTGATTTTCAGTTCAAAAAAACACACTGATGTTCAAGAACAAAGACTGGTACAATAACTATCTACAAAATGCTTTTGTTACTAGATTTTAATTCCTTCATCAAACAGACACAGTCAAAGTTGATAGTGTCACTAGATCTAGAGGTCTATCAATATCCTTCCCACCATTTAATATGTTCTTAATCTCAGGGAAATTCTAAATCATATTCTTCTAAATTGTACAGTTGACTCCTGAAAAACACAAGGTTTAGGGCCATCAAACCTCCCTAACCCCTCCCCACCACCCCAGCACAGTCAAAAATTCACATATAACTTTGGACTCCCCAAAACTAAACTAACAGCCTACTGTTGACTGGACAATCCTTAACACATATTTCATACGCTGTATGTATTTTACACCGTAGTTTTACAATGAAGCTAGTTACAGAAAAGAAAGTGTTATTAAGAAAATTATAGGGAAGAAAAAATACGTTTACAGTACTACAGTATATTTATTTCTCTCATAAGTTTACAATCCTGTGTTTACAAGATGGATCCTTCTTCTGAAATGGCAGCACACACAGCTGCAGGCCTCAATCTAGGGTACCTATCAAGCAATTCATTGTTTTCCTGTAATGTCAGGACCCTTCTCTGTTTCCTGGAAGAACTTTCAGCATCACTAGCAGCACTTTTTATAGGTCTGAAGGTGTTATTCAAGGTTTATGGTATTGCACTAGACATCATGAATAATACAGGAGAAACATGAGAGAACACTTTTTACTGTGTTAATTTACTGGAGAGACAAGCTACTCACAAGAAGATGATTAGCATTATGTGGCATTTTAAGTGAATACTCACAACACTTGAGTTCACTGCAAGAACAACAGGTGGAGGCTAGGAAATTATCCCAGTAGTACAGTATGTACTACAGTTAATTTTGTGCAGTTATGATTTACTTTTGTATATTTTTGTTTTACTTTTCTCTAAACTTCAATTGGCTGCATGTATGCTCTGTGTTTGCCTACGTCTTGATAAATTTTAACTTTTTATAATAGACGCATATATATTTCATTGTATTAAATGATCACTAGTATCTACATATGATTTATGCATTCATGACATCGTTTTCTTAGTTTTTTAATATTTCTTGTGTAGATGGGTCACCTGTTATCTTTTTCAATTTTTCATAAATCTCCAAAAATTTTCTAATATATTTATAGGAAAAAATCTACATATGAGCAGACCTGCACAGTTCAAACCTGTGTTGTTGAGGAGTCAACTATATATTATAATTTAAGAGAGGATTCAACTCTTTCATTCTACTGGCAATGGGTTAACATAAACTTTAGTCAGAACTGCTGAGCTTTTCTGGCACAATGAGGACAAATTGACCAATGTATTTAACCAATAGCTGGGGGAAAATTTTGCTAAAATTGGTAAGTATATCTTTATATAACTATATCCTTACAACTTGTCTCAACCTTCGTCAGATTAATCCTAACAAAACTGTAAAATGTCTCAGTAAAAATCTAAATGAATTTTTCATAACAAGTGCTGGCAATAGATTTTAAATATGTTCTGATCATTATTTGTCTCTTGTTGGCATGGAGAAAATCCTTTTTTTTTTTTTCAGCCTGGGGAATCCCAAACTATATCTCTAGTAACAAGGAAACCATTTTACCGGAATTTTTATTAACATGGAAAAGTTCTGTCAATTAATCAGACTTCACTGTCCATATCACTTTCAACCTTTTGGGAAGGTAGAAAGATGGAATTCTGAAACTAAAGTTGGTAAAGTTCACAGAGATCGTCAAACTTGCATGGTCTAAGGTATTTCTTCTTTCTGTGGTTCATGAGTTAGTAACAGCTAAACCAAGTGTCTAGGAATATTAGCTCTGATTCTAGAAATCTACACTTATTTAACTAAATGCTGTAAGGACTCAGGAAATCCATTCTTTCAACAAAAGTTACTGAAGACTTTCCCCATTAGTATCCTAAACAATGTCTGCAAAATTGGTTTTCATACCTGGATACCTTGTCTTCTAAGAGACACGGCAGGGAAAGATCATAGGAAAAAAGTCACTATCAGGCACAGCTAACAACTAGCAAACCCATAGTCTTTAAAAGACTGATCCTTTGATTCCTATCTCTCAAGTAAAGAGGTTTAGGTCATCTTCATATTACAGGAAAGTATCCCTACCAAAAACTTCTAACTAACGACTCTTAGGATTCTTCCAAAAGCAAATAGTCTTTGGGAGAAGACAGCTTCCATCAAATGCCTTTGGATCAAGTGAATCACTATATGAGATATCGGTATCTGCAAACCAAGATCCACAAAAAAAGATCCATTGTTTGTCATATTTAATCTGTATATCTTGAGTTTTCATTTTCCTAGTTAACTTTATCTTTTTATGCTTAAGGTTACATTTAATTACTTTACCTATAAAGCTACTATTCCTAATTCCTCTATGCCGTCCTTAGTCACTCTCTAGAAGAGTCCGGAAGCTGGCCGTAATTTGTTCACAATTTGGCTAAACATGCAGTTGAATCAGTGCTAAGCTGCACACATTTTCCTTAGGATGCCAATTAGAGTTTTTTTTTTTTAACATCGATTCCTAAATATGAAACATCTGGGTTTATCAATAATTGGACTCACTATTTATTGTTATTTTATCTGACAAACAGCAGAGTATTAGATAAATAGAAATCTTAAATCCTAACATGCTGCACCCAGGAAAGAAAGCTTATGCCTACAGCAGAACAGCACTTAGGGATCTTTAATAGAATGCAACTTCTGTCACTAAACCTTTAGAAAGAAATGTCTTAAAAAGAAGAGAACAAATGGCACATACTTAATTCATTTCTCACATTTACATATCATAAAAAATTCTTATTACATATTCAAGCTCCTATCACATCTACCTCTTCCTCTATGTGATAAGGTCTTCATTTTATATCCCCAAAAGTGATTAATAGCAGAATGGAGCTGAAAGCAATCAATAAACTCAATCAACCTTAATGACTGCTACTGGATTTGTGGTACCAGAACCTATTGATTATTACAGCAATCTTGACATAAACTAACATACTGATGTGGTAGTCAGAATAATGGCTCTTCAGAGATGATGCGGTCTTAATCCAGATAATTTATAAATTTGTTAGCTTACCTGGCAGGACAGACTTTGCAAATGCAATTAGAGTTAAGGATTTTGAAATGGAGAGACTATCATAGATTTTTAGATGGCCAAATGCAATCATAAGATTCTTTACACGTAGAAGAGGGAGATATAAAAGGAGAATGTGAAGACTTGCTCCTTCATTTGTAGCTTTGAAGGTCAAGGAAAGGAACTGTTATGAACTGAATATTTGTGTCTCCCTAAAATTAATCTATTGAAGATGATTGGCATTGTTCAAATATTCATAGATTATTTTCAATGATCTATTAATTGGCAGTGTGATAGTATCTGGAGATGGAGCTTTTGGGAGGAACCTAGGTTGAGATAATGTCCTAAGTGTGGTGTTCTCATGATAATGTTAGTGTTCTTATAAGAAAAGGTGGAGATACTAGACCACCTCCCACCCAACCACCCTTCTCTTTCTCTCTCCGTAAACATGTATCCAGGAAAGGCCATGTGAACACAGAGAGAAGGAGGCCATCTACTAACCAGAGAGGGAGTGGGCCCTCACCACGAACCAAATATACCAGCACCTTAATCTTGGACTTCCCAACTTTCAGAACTCTGAGAAATAAATGTCAGTTGTTTAAGTCACCCGGTCTATGGTATTTTCTTACAGTATTCCAAGCTGCCCAAGACAGGGAACATGCATCAAAGAATGCAGCTGGATTCTAAAGCCTGGGAAAGGCCAGGTCATGGATTATTCCACAGAGCCTATAGAAGGAATGCAGTCTTCCAATGCTTTGATTTTAAATCAGTAAGACCTGTGTTGAACTTCTAACCTGGAATACTGCTAGACAATAAATTTATGTTGTTTTAAACTACTAAGTGTATTGTGATTTTTATAACAGCCACAGGAAAATAATACATTTGGCAAATCAGTGCATGTTTCATGATGGTCAATGATATGCCCCAGGGTCCATCTTAGCCATGATTTCTATCCCTTCAAAAACCAAAACAAAATAAAAAAGTAAAACAAAAAGACCAATTTTACTATACTACTTGATTTTTAACAATATTTTATATGTATTTAATCCAGTATATCCAAAATATTGTCATCTCAGCATAAAACAATATTAAAATTATTCAGTTTTACATTTTTTAAACTAAATCTAGTTTGTATTTTACATATAGCATAAATCAATTCAAATCCACCATATTTCAAGTGTTCAATATCTACATGTCACTAGTAATGACTATAGTGGACAGAATTGATCCAGATTTCCAGGTGTATTGCTATAAAACTAACCATATTTTTATCTTATTAAAACAAAACAAAACTCCTCCATAACTATGTCTATGTTCCTTTTGCTTTTATTAACATTGAACATATTCTTGTTTTTAATCTAATTTTGTCTGTATTTAGGTCTATTTTTTGGTGGTGTTATTTCTTGTATGCTTGGCATCAACTTTTTTTTCAATTTCTTAGACTATCTAAACTATTATGCTCTGAGTTTAGCTCAATTTCAATCAGCTACTCACTTTGAAAGACTCATTTAACTCTCTTAAGCCATTCTCCACAAACATGAAAAATCTTCCTCTCACTCTTCCCTGCTGAAACACTGCAAAAGTATGTCAAAATGGTGTACTTTCTTGGCACAGGGTTTCAATAAACTTAGTTTTGCTTTAATAACAAATTATCTGAATATATTTCAGGGAGTTCCACTGGTAAAAGCATAAAATCATGTTAGTTCAGGTCATCTTTTGTAAAGTTATGACAGTGCCATAGTATCAATTCTTGTCAAAATTTATGACTTCAAAATCAACTTAATATGCATCAACATAGATATTTTTTAGTTAATTCTAGACTCCAGGTGCTCATTTAAATAATATGGGTACATAAGACTGAACAAAACCAGTTGCTATTGAATGTACATTTTAGAGAAATACTTCATACACAGTTCTGTTTTGTTAAATAAGGAACTTGATGACATAATCAATATCACGGCAGCATACAACTGTTTGGTTAGTATGTCTCTTTAAACAAGCACATATGCTCATTCATGGAGTGTGTATTTGTATCTGTGTATGGTCTGTGTGGTGAAGCAGCAAGCAACAGTTGGATGTCTTAATTATCTAACAGGAAAAAACACCTAAATAATCAGAAGAAATTTTGATTTATTTATTAGTTCGACTGAGCTTTTCTCTTGAATGTAACACAGATGGTCCCAGATTTACAATGGTACAACTTTACAGCTTTATCATGGTACAAAAGTGATAAACATTCAGTAGAAACAATGCTTTTATTACCCATATACCCATTCCGTTTTTCACATTCAGTATTTAATAATTTACATGTGATATTCAACACTTTATTTAAAAATAGGCTTTAGGTTAGATTTTTTTTTTGGACTGGCTAATGTAAGTGTTCTGAGCACATTTCTTAAGTGTATTTTTTTTTAATACTTTAAGTTCTAGGGCACATGTGCACAACTTGCAGGTTTGTTACATATGTATACATGTGCCATGTTGGTTTGCTGCACCCATTAACTCATTATCTACATTAGGTACTTCTCCTAATGCTATCCCTACCCATCCCCCCACCCCACAATAGGCCCCAGCATGTGATGTTACCCACTCTGTGTCCAAGTGTTCTCGTTGTTCAATTCCCACCTATGAGTGAGAACACACGGTGTTTGGTTCTCCGTCCTTGCGAAGGTTTGCTCAGAATGATGGTTTCCAGCTTCATCCACGTCACTACAAAGGACATGAACTCATCATTTTTTATGCCAGCATAGTATTCCATGGTGTATGTATGCCACATTTTCTTAATCCAGTCTATCATTGATGGACATTTCGGTTGGTTCCAAGTCTTTGCTATTGTGAAGAGTGCCGCAATAAACATACATGTGCATGTGTCTTTATAGCAGCATGATTTATAATGCTTTGGGTATATACCCAGTAATGGGATCACTGGGTCACATGGTATTTCTAGTTCTAGATACTTGAGGAATTGCCACACTGACTTCCACAATGGTTGAACTAGTTTACACTCCCACAAACAGTGTAAAAGCATTCCTATTTCTCCACATCCTCTCCAGCACCTGTTGTTTCCCGACTTTTTAATGATCGCCATTCTAACTGGTGTGAGATGCTATCTCATTGTGGTTTTGATTTGCATTTCTCTGATGACCAGTAATGATGAGCATTTTTTCATGTGTCTGTTGGCTGCATAAATGTCTTCTTTTGAAAAGTGTCTGTTCATATCCTTTGTCCACTTTTTGATGGCTTTGTTTTTTTCTTGTAAATTGGTTTAAGTTCTTTGTAGATTCTGGATATTAGCTATTTGTCAAATGGGTAGATTGGAAAAATTTTCTCCCATTCTGTAGGTTGCCTGTTCGCTCTGATGGTAGTTTCTTTTGCTGTGCAGAAGCTCTTTAGTTTAATTAGACCCCATTTGTCTATTTTGGCTTTTGTTGCCATTGCTTTTGGTGTTTTACACATGAAGTCCTTGCCCATGCCTATGTCCTGAATGGTATTGCCTAGGTTTTCTTCTAGGGTTTTTATGGTTTTAGGTCTAACATTTAAGTCTTTAATCCATCTTGAATTAATTTTTCTATAAGGTGAAGGAAGGGATCCAGTTTCAGCTTTCTACATATGGCTAGCCAGTACCATTTATTAAATAGGGAATCCTTTTCCCATTTCTTGTTTTTGTCAGGTTTGTCAAACATCAGATGGTTGTAAATGTTTAGCGTTATTTCTGAGGCCTCTGTTCCATTCCATTGGTCTATATCTCTGTTTTGGTACCAGTAAAATGCTGTTTTTGTTACTGTAGCCTTGTAGTATAGTTTGAAGTCAGGTAGCGTGATGCCTCCAGCTTTGTTCTTTTTGCTTAGGATTGTCTTGGCAATATGGGCTCTTTTTTTGATTCCATATGAACTTTAGTTTTTTCCAATTCTGTGAAGAAAGTCATTGGTAGCTTGATGGGGATGGCATTGAATCTATAAATTACCTTGGGCAGTATGGCCATTTTCACGATATTGATTCTTCCTACCCATGAGCATGGAATGTTCTTCCATTTGTTTGTGTCCTCTTGTATTTCGTTGAGCAGTGGTTTGTAGTTTTCCTTAAAGAGGTCCTTCACATCCCTTGTAAGTTGGATTCCTAGGTATTTTATTCTCTTTGTAGCAACTGTGAATGGGAGTTCACTCATGATTTGGCTCTCTGATTGTCTGTTATTGGTGTATACAAATGCATGTGATTTTTGCACACTGATTTTGTAACCTGAGACTTTGCTGAAGTTGCTCATCAGCTTAAGGAGATTTTGGGCTGAGATGATGGGGTTTTCTAAATATACAATCATATCACCTGCAAACAGGGACAATTTGACTTCCTCTTTTCCTAATAGAATGCCCTTTATTTCTTTCTCTTGCCTGACTGCCCTGGCCAGAACTTCCAACACTATGTTGAATAGGAGTGGTGAGAGAGGGCATCACTGTCTTGTGCTAGTTTTCAAAGGGAAAGCTTCCAGTTTTTGCCCATTCAGTATGATACTGGCTGCGGGTTTGTCATATATAGCTCTTATTATTTTGAGATATGTTCCATCAATACCTAGTTCATTGAGAGTTTTCAGCATGAAGGGCTATTGAATTTTGTCAAAGACCTTTTCCGCATCTATTGAGATAATCTTGTGGTTTTTGTCTTTGGTTCTCTTTATGTGATGGATTACATCTATTGACTTGCGTATGTTGAACCAGTCTTGCATCCCATGGATGAAGCCAACTTGATCTTGGTGGATAAGCTTTTTGATGTGCTGCTGGACTCGGTTTGCCAGTATTTTTGTTAAATGTACTAAATGCATTTTTTACCTAAAATATTTTCAACTTATGAGTATATCCAGATCCATCATAACACATCTTGGCCTGTGGTTATCAGGATGTAACTCATTATAAGTCGAGGTAGATTTGTATTATATCCCATGTACACACACACACACACACACACACACACACACACACACACACACACACAGACTTAATCTGTTTACAGAAATAAAAGGAATAAAATACCGTTTCTATTATACACCAAAACTAGCCATCTTGACAGATACTTCACTCTGAAAAATAACGTTTTATAGCTACTTTACAGATTAGTATAATAATTTGGTGTTTCTGTTTCAGAGATTCGATTTCACATTTCAATAAGTAGGCCGCTCCCTCTGCTAAGCCTGGGAATGTAATTCTTTTGAAAAACTATCTGTGCTGTAAAATTACATGTCATATTGGGAAAAGGACAATCGCAAACAGTAGTCACACATAAAATCAAGCAACACAGACATCCTTTTCACATACAGTGAAGACCCTTGTCAATTTTGAGATTACACAGGAAAACAGAATGGGGGACAAGTGTCTCTGACACATAGAAAATCCCGTGAAGAAGAACTCAGCTGACACAATCAAAACATACACAAAACTGAAAGAAACAAGGTGAGTGCTTTTTATATTAGTTCAGCTGTCAAGAAAGTGTAAAATAAACCTAACATTTTTTTACTAAGTGAGGATTTTCTTTTTTGAAACATCATCATTTATATTTATCCAGTTTGCAACTTCATCAGCTGAATCTCAGGATGTGTTCCATGACACTGAAGGACAATTAAATCATATCCATGACAATATATGAGAAGCTGACAGGAGAACATGGTGGCATTTGAATTAATGTCTATCATTAGATAGAATTTCTGATCACATAATTTAAGTTGTAGTTTTCCATACAATTTAATCAAGATAAGCACTTATTAGGTGAGTGATATACTTTGGCTCTGTGTCCCCACACAAATCTCATGTTGAATCGTAATCCCCACGTGTCAGGGGAGGGGTCTGGTAGGAGGTGATTTGATCATGGGGGTGGATTTCCCATACTGTTCTCGTGACAGTCAGTGAGTTCTCACAAGATCTGATGGTTTAAAAGTGTGTGGAACTTCCCCCCGGCTCTTCTCTCTACTGACACCATGTGAAGAAGGCACCTGCTCCCCCTTTACCTTCTGCCATGATTGTTAGTTTCCTGAGGCCTCCCAGTCGTGCTTCCTGTTAAGCTTGCAGAACTGTGAGTCAATTAAACCTCTTTTCCTCATAAATTACCCAGTAGTTCTTTATAGCAGTTTGAGAAGAGATAGATACAGAAAATTGGTACCAGAGAAGTGGGGCATTGCTATAAAAATACCTGAAAATATGGAAGTAACTTTGGAACTGGGTAACAGGCAGAGGTAGGAAACAGTTTGGAGGACTCAGAAGAAGACAGGGAGATATGGGAAAGTTTAAATCTTCCTAGAGACCTGTTGAATGGTTGTGAACAAAATGCTGATAATGATTTGGATAATGAAGTCCAGGCTGAGGGGGTCTCAGATGGAGATGAGGAACTCATTGAGAACTGAAGAAAAAGTTACTCTTGCTATGCTTTAGCAAAGAGACTGACAGCCTTTTGACCCGGCCCTAGAGATCTGTGTAATGTTGAACTTCAGAGAGATGATTTAGGGTATCTGGTGAAACAAATTTCTAAGCAACAGACCTTCCAACATGTGGCCTGGCTGCTTCTAAAAGTTTATGCTCATGTCCATGAAGAAAGAGATGGCTTGAAACTGAAACGTATATTTAAAAGGAAAGCAGACCATAAAAGTTTGGAAAATTTGCAGCCTAACCATATAGTAAAAAAGAAAAACCCACGCTCTTGGGAGAAATTCAAGCAAAAATTTGCATAAGTAAAGAGGAGCCAAATGTTAATGGCAAAGACAATGTGGAATACGTCTCCAGTACATTTCAGAGACCTTTGAGGCAGCCCCTCCCATTATAAGCCTGGAGGCCTAGGAGGGAGAAATTGTTTAGTGGGATGGGCCCAGGGCCCTGCTGCTCTGGGCAGCCTCGGGACATGGTGCCCAGTGTTCCAGCTGCTCAGCTCCAACTGTGGCTAAAAGGGTCCAAGGCACTACTCAGGCCATTGCTTCAGAGAATACAAGCCTCAAGCTTTGGTGGCTTCCACATGAGGCTGGGCCTGTGGTTGTGCAGAAGGGAAGAGGTGAGGTTTGGGAACCTCCATCTAGATTTCAGAGGATGTATGGAAATGCCTGGATGTCTAGGCAAAAGTCTGCTGCAGAAGTGGAGCCCTTATGGAGAACCTCTACTAGGGCAGTGCAGAGGGAAAATGTGGGGTTGGAGCCCCCACACAGATTCCCCACTGGGGCACTCCCTACTGGAGCTTTGAGAAGAGGGTCATAGTGCTTCAGACCCCAGAATGGTAGATCCACTGACAGCTTGCACAGTGTGCCTGGAAAAGTCACAGGCACTCAATCCTAGCCTGTGAAAGCAGCTGTGGGGGCTGTGCCTTGCAGAGCCACAGAGGCAGAGCTGTCAAAGCTCATGGGAGCCCAGATATTGCATCAGTATGCTCTGGACGTGAGAGATGAGGTCAAAGAAGATTGTTTCAGAGCCTTAAGATTTAATGACTGCCTTGTCGGGTTTTGGACTTGCATGGGGCCTGCAGACCCTTTGTTTTGGCTAATTTCTCCCTTATGGAATTGGAGTGTTTACCTGATCCCTGTACCCCCACTGTTGTCTTGAAATTAACTAACTTGTTTTTGATTTTACAGGCTTATAGGCAGAAGCGATTTGCCTTGTCTCAGATGAAACTTTGGACATGGACTTTTGAGTTAATGCTGGAATAAGTTAAGACTTTCAGTCTGTTGGGAAGGCATGATTGGTTTTGAAATGTGAGAAGGACATGATACTTGGGAGGGGCCAGAGGAGAAATAATATGGCTTGGCCCTCTGTCCCCACCCAAATCTCATCTCAAATTGTAATCCCCTCATGTCAAGAGAGGGGCCTGGGTGGAGGTGACTGGATCATGGGAGCAGATTTCCACATGCTATTCTCATGATAGTGAGTGAGTTCCAAGAGATCTGATGGTTTAAAAGTGTGTGGCACTTCCCTCCTTGTGCTCTCTCTCTCCTGGTGCCATGTCAAGAAGAACCTTGTTTCCCCTTTGCCTTCCACCATGATTTTCTGAGTTTCCTGAGTCCTCCCATTCATGCTTCCTGTAAAGCCTGAAGGACTATGAATCAATTAAATCTCTTTTCTTCATAAATTACTCAGTCTCAAGTCATTCTTTATATCATTGTGAAAACTGACTACTACGGTTAGCAATCTTAAAGAATACTTGTGATTTTGAGAATCAGGCACATATTTTTTTAATAATCGGACTGCTTATAATTGTTTAACTCCTTGCAACTTATAGTTAGTGCCTAAAACTTTGATGACTTTCATTACATTTCAATGGCTCTGTTCCCTTATAGCAAACTACCTTTTTTACTGTACTTACTGTAACTACAGTGCATTTATTTTCAGCCCAAATAGTATTCAGTAATAAGCATTTCTTCCCACATAAGAATAAGTTATATTCCTATTCACTATATTCTAGAATTTCTATTTTCCTTCCACAGTGCCAGCTAAAATTAAAGTGGAATAATCTATTGGGGCCCTGTGTATTTAATGTTTGTTTTCTTAGTATATTATAAACACTGTGAAGGAAGGAAATCCTTGCCTCTTGTTTATACTTTTATCTCCATTATAGAAACACTCTGCATTATTTTCTTACTGCTGCTGTAGCCAATTACTACAAAGTTAGTGGTTTAAAATAGCACAAATATAGTGTCAAACAATTGTGTTTGTCAGATGTCTGCAATGCATCTTATGAGGCTAAAATCAAAGAGTGAGAACTGTTGTGTTCCTTTCTGAAGGTTTTAGGGGAAAATCAGTTTCCTTGACTTTTCCAGCCTCCAGAGGCTGTCCTGATTTGTTAGCTTATGGTCTTTCATTTGTTCAAACCAGAAATGCTGTGTCTCTCTGACCATTCTTTTGAAATCATACCACCTTATGTTTCTAGCCAAGAATGTTTCCCTAGTTTAAACCCATTTGATTACACTGAACTCAAAAGGACACTTTTTCATCTTACCATCCTTAACATTATAATACTTGCAAAGCCCCTTTTACCAGATAGTTAACATATTCACAGCTTCCAGAAATCAGGACATGCGGTTTTTTTTTTGTTGGTTTGTTTGTTTTGTAAACCATTATTTTGCTTACTATACTGTCTTAATTGGAGGAAGCAACTTCTTCGAATAGGTGAATTAATTTCAAATTGATAATGTGATTCTGAATGAACATTAAAGAAATCAACTATTACACCGAACATTACTTTATTGAGCTAAACAAATATTAACTGACTATATAAAATTCATTACACATTTGGAGATAGAATTTTGTACTCTTTAATAAGACTTTTTACATTTTTTGCAATCCTTTTTCTTATTTAAAAAATCAGTACTGTATTAGTACCCACAATATAAGTTTGTTCTAAGAATCAAATGAGATAAACATTTCAGACACCTATCATAGTATCAAGTTCATATCGTAAGCCTAAAATACCAGATGACTTTTATTATTTTCAGAATGTAGTCAAAATCAACATAAAGTTACATTAACACTTGGTTTACTGTATCATAATGCTAGCTTTGTGTCATATCTATCTAGAGAGTACACTGAATAGCTTAAACCAAGTAGAAGGTGATTTCTTGCTTACATAACAGTTTACCATAAGTAATTTTGGCTAAAGACGCATCTTTCCTGCAAAAAATAATTCAAGTTAACGAAGGATCTACTATTACCAAATTGTATCTTCCCAGATTACTTTGTATATATCACCATTCCAGAAGACAAAAGACTACTCATGAAATACAATTTGCACACTTCTTTATATATGAAAAATTCACTTCTCTTCCCTCTGTAAACAACTTAAAGTTTTGCCCAGTTACTGCCTACAACTTAGAGTTCAGGATGTTTCATGACGTGCAGTTCTCTCCCTCAGGCCACTATATGACTTAACGAGGACTAGTGTCCTATAAAGTCAAAAGACAAATTATCTGTAAAATCTAAGTTACCATGGTGAAGCTCCTATCAGAAGACAAAGAAGTCTGCAGAGCACTGACAAAAATATTTCTGAGCAGTACAAATATTTATTTGATGAAACCATAAACATGTCCTGTGGAAATAACTTTAAGGTCCATTGTCCCTGTGGCTCATAGATTTACTTTCTGAGGTAATTTACATTTTCTCTTATTCTCCATGCCTCCATCTTAAATTAGAACAATGAGTGTTTTCTCAGCATGACTAATCAATTGCACTGATTAGTGCAATTTGGGATGCTTGAGGATATTTTAAGCCTTAATTTTTTTTTCTCACAATAGGCTTATTGTACCTTTGCCAAGTAGTTATGTGGAAACCATTTATTTATTTATTGGATCTAGTTTATAACCAAACATACAGTTCTTTCCTAGGTATAATTCTAAAGTCTGCCTCATTTCCTTCTTTTTTCTCCTCCCCAACACACATATGCTTCTCTGACTGTAAAGATGACCACTTTAAGGTCATTTGAAATCATAGACTTGAAAGAGAAAACAACTTCCCTGATGAGTTCTTTGCTTCAGGGCTGGGTTCCTTGTTTTTTATGAACACAGTAGGATTTAATTTCTGAGCAGCTTTTTCAACCTAATCAGAAAAACCTGAGCTTTTCTGTCACTGTATAATTCCACCATTACTAGACTTTTTGTTTACAAGTGGTTTCCAACAAGGAATGACTTTGTTTCCATAGAACACTTGTCAGTGTCTGGAGACATTTTGAATTATAATGATTAGGTGGTGATGCTACTGGTATGTGGTGGTATAGCCTAAAGATACTATTAATATCCTACAATGCAAAGAATAACCTCCCACAGAATGCAGGAATATCAGGCATAAAATGTCAATAATGCTAAGGTTTAGCAACTCAACTCTATCCACTTTCTTTCCACTCTAAAGACAGGATATTTCTTTTTTCTTTTTTTTTTTTTTTTTTTTGCCTGTGTTTATCTATTTCTTGGATTATGGAACAGAACAAACATGAACACATTACCTTTTGCCTTTCCTCATTTCCCACACTCTTTCCTAGAGGTAATATTAAGCTTCCAATTAATTTTAGATGGTAGTTTCAATAATTTTTTTTCACTGGGTATTACAAGTCTTCATTTCAACCCTCTGAGTTTGGTTTACTTGTCCATTTAATACTAATTTAGTGGATACGTTTTAGGTGCTGTTATGGCAGACCCAACTCAAGCTGGTGATTTCTATATTACTTGGAATCGTGCTAGTTGCTTTGACAACTACACTCAACAACATATAATATCTTAAACAGAACAGAAGTTTCATTCATATAAACTGTTTTTTTAAGATAGGAAAAGCATTGCTCCTTTATGTCCGCATTCAAGAACATAGGCTACTAAGGTATTTAATCTGCAGTATGTTGCTTCCAAGACTACTGTAGAATTGGCCGTTCCAGTCAAGCATACTGAAAAACGTATACAGAAGAGTGCATGTTGGGATTTTGGAGACTAAATTGGATATAAAATATGTTATTTCTACTAATTTTCCACTATTTTGACTTTAATCCCATGCCCTAATATAAAGTATATAAGAATGAGAAACATAGTTTATGTATCTATCAAAATAGAACATAAATGTTTGTGAACATTTGAATCTGTCAGCTTCTCTTGCTCACGTGCCTGTAGTGCCTGTACTCAGGATGCTGAGGCAGGAGAATCGCTTGAACCCAGGAGGTGGAGGTTGCAGTGAGCTGAGGTCACACCACTGCACTCCAGCCTGGGCAACAGAGCGAGACTCCATCTCAAAAAAAAAAAGAAGTGACTCAACTGATTGATGTGTAAAACCTCATTGTAAAATAATGTTCTATAAATGAGACATTAATACAGTTAAATTTTTGGATTAAAAAAGTCTGCCACTTTGTGAATATGTTTTATTTAGGCTTGATTTAGTTAATTTTCTTTTTTCTTTTTCTTTTTCTTTTTTTTTTTTTTTTTTCTGAGGAGTTTCACTGTTGCTGCCCAGGCTGCAGCGCAGTGCTGGGATCTCGGTTCACTGCATCCTCCACCCCGCCAGTTCAAGTGATTCTCCTGCCTTAGCCTCCTGAGTAGCTGGGATTACAGGCACCCACCCACCACCATACCCGGCCAATTTTTTGTGTTCTTAGTACACATGGGGTTTCACCATGTTGGCCAGGATGGTCTCGAACTTCAGACCTCAGGTGATCCGCCCACCTTGGCCTCCCAAAGTGCTGGGATTACAGGCATGAGCCACCGCACCCAGCCAGTTAATTTTTCTATTAACTAAGACCTAATTAAGATTGAGGCAGAAGAAATGGGTCCTTGGGATTTGAAAATTACTATTCAATTTGGAAGTTTAATTTGCAACATAGATTGTCTGTTATTAAATTACTAGATATAATATCACAAAGGTGGAAAGAAAGGTTGCTTAGTTAAAGATCTAAGTTACTAGTCATGGTGTCAGATATAGAGAATGATTGAAGGTTATCAGAGTCACACACCAGATGAGTAAATTGTTGTTTTCAAGGAAGAGGTTACATAAAGGTAAGCGGAGTAATATTTCAGCATTTTTGTTAATTAAAAATTTGTAAAGTTATTTCCATTTCAAGGAAATTACTCTCAGTAATTTTACGGGTAAAATGACAAATTCCAAGTTTAATTTTCACATGTAACACCCTCCTTGAGCACTTATTTTTATAAAGCTATTAATCTATTTTGGTCTCAATTTACCTTTCTTTAAAGAGATTTTAAAATTTTCTGAAAGAAGTTGACATCTGGAAGTGTAGCTGTTATATTTTTCAATTTTTAATTACATATTTAATTATCCTTTAATTACTTAAGGTTATTCTCAAAAGTGAAGAGATAGCTGGGATCACACTGCGTAAGATTTTACTCCTGAATGTAATATTCAAAAATGTTACAAAGTCTATCAACGAGGTTTTCATTCTGTGACAATACATGGTCAATTTGACATGGTCAGGAAGCACCACCCCCACTGAGAGATACCAAATTATGGAGTAAACCACCGTAATTTAGGCAGATCTTGAGAGAGAAAATGCTGAGTGGATGCAGAGGCAGCAATGAAGCTGAGCTGAAGAGGGAGGAAGCCTGTGCAGGGAACCCAAACACTACAGCTAGTTCCCCAGAATGGCTCCTAGGAAAGGGCCTCTGCCTGAGAGAGACCTGTGGCCTAGAACACCTAACACAAGAAACACAGTGATTGCAGGAGACTCCCCCAGGGCCCAGGAGCACATCTGGTGATGGAGGCATCTCTCCCACCCCCACTATAGAGCACACCTGCAAACAAAAGGAAGTATAAAACAGCCATGCCACTGGGTATTAGGCTAGCCACTGGCCATCACTCTTAAGCACTATGCATTGGATCACATCCCAAACTACAACATCAAAATTTATCCTGCTACATATACACCTGTGAAACCAAACACAAGAATTACTCATACATAAAAATCCTGGACAGAGAAAGCCCTGACCCTTTGAAAGCATCCAGAAACAAAACCAATTGCCTATACTCAACATACACTACAGTTAAAGGAACACTAACCCTACCAGAAGAGAAAAAATCAGTGCAAGAACTCTGGCAATTCAAAAAGCTAGAGTGTCCTCTTACCTCAAAATTAGCCCACTAGCTACCAAGCAATGGTTCTTAATCAGTCTAAAATAATTGCAACAGACATAGAATACAGAACCTCGATGGCAGGGAAGCTCATGAACATTAAGGAGAAAGTTGAAACCCTAGCCAAGTAATCCAGTAAAGCAATCTAAGTAAGTGCTGAAAGATGAAATTGCCATTTTAAACAACAGCCACACTGAATTTCTAGAGCAGAAAAAATTCAGTATAAGAATTTTATAATACAGTAAGAAATATTAACAGAAGGTAGGCCAAGCTAAGGAAAGAATCTCAGAGCTCAAAGACTGGTTCGTTGAATCAACTGAGTCAAAAGAAAATTTTAAAAAAGAATTAAAAAAAGAAAATGAACCAAAGCTTTAAGAAATATGGAATTATATAAAGAGACCAAATCTACGACTCATTGTCATTCCTAGAAGAGAAACAAAGAGAAAAGGCAACTTGGAAAATAGATTTGAGAATAGAGTCTATGAAAATTTTCCTAACCTCGCTAGAGAGAGTGACATGTAAATCCAAAAAATACAGCAAACCCAGCTAGGCACTATAAAAGGTGACTATCCCTAAGGCACACAGTCATCATATTCACCAAAGTAAATACAAAAGAAAAAAAAAATCTTAAAGGCAGCTAGAGAGAAAGGTCATGTTTTCATAAAGCAAGAACTCCACTAGGCTAGTAGTAAATATCTCAGCAAAAACCTTACAAGCCAGAAGAGATTAAGGGCCTATGTCCAACATCATTAATGAAAATAAATTCCAGGCAATAATTTTATATTTCACTAAACTAAACTTCCTAAGTGAAGAAGAAACAAATTTCTCCTCAGATAAGCAAATACTGAGGGAATCAATTTCAACTTGACCAGCCTTATGAAAGGTCCTTAAGGGAGTGCTATACATTGAGTAAAAAGAATGACACCTGCTACCACAAAAACCCACTGAAGTACATAGCTCACAGGCACTATAAAGTATCTACACAATCAAGTCTACCTAAAAACCAGCTACAAACGTGATGATAGGATCAAAATCTCATGTATCAACATTAACCATAAATGTAAATAGGCTAAACACCCCCACTTAAATGACATACAATGGCAAACTGGATAAAAATGCAAGGCTCACCATCTGCAGTCTTCAAGAGACTCACCTCATATGTAATGACAGCCACTGGCCCAAAATAAGGGGATGGAGAAAATCTGCCATGCAAATGATAACAAAAAAGCAGGAGTAACTATTCTTATATCAGATAAAACAGACTTTAATCAAAATTAAAAAGAACAATTGAAGAATGAAGAGCATTATGTCATGAGAAAGTATATGATCAAACAAGAATACTTAAGTACCCTAAATATAAATGCACCCAACATGGAGCACCCAGATTCATAAAACAAGTTCTTTTTGGACTACAAAAAGACAGACGACCACCCAATAACTGTAGGAGACTTCAACACCCCCGCTGGCAGCACTGGATCATCAAAGCAGATAACTAAGAAAGAAACTGTGTACTTAAACTTCACCCTTGACCATCTGGACCTAATAAGACATCTACAGAACACTCCACTCAATAACCACAGAATATACATTCTTCTCATCTGCACAGGGAACATATTCTAACATTGACCACATGCTTGGTCATAAAGCAAGTCTGGATAAATTTTAAAAAATGAAATCATATCAAGCACACTCTTAGATCTCAATGTAATCAAAATATAAATAAATACCAACATCTCTCAACACTACACAAATAGATGAAAATTAAACAACTTTCTCCTGAATAACTTCTGTGTGAAAATCAAAATTAAGGGAGAAATTTTAAGAAAGTGAAATTAATGAAAATGGGAACACAAATTACCAAAATCTCTGGGATGCAGCTAAATCAGTGTTAAGAGGAACGTTTAAATGCCTTTATCATAAAGTTAGAAATACTTCAAATTAACAATCTAACACTACACCTAAAGGAACTAGGGAAGAAAAAAAAAAGAACAACCCTACATCAACGCTAGGAATGAAAAGAAACAACTAAAATAGAGAAGATCTGAATGAAATTGAGATGCAAAAATCCATACAAAAGATTAATGAAACCAAGAGTTGATTTAAAAAAAGAGATTGATAGACCTTTAGCTAGATAAACAAAGAAAAAAAAGAGAAGATCTAAATATATAAATCAGAATGACAAAAACGACATTAAAAATGGTCCCACAGACATACAAAATAATCCTCAGAGAATACTAGGAATAACTCTAGACACAAAAATTAGAAAATCTAGAGGAAATGGATAAATTTCTGAAAACAGGCAATCTTCCAAGATTGAATCAGGAAGATACTGAAATACTGAAGAGACCAATATGAAGCTCTGAAATTGAATAAGTAATAAAAAATCTACCAAGCCAAAAAGCCCTGGACTATATGGATTCACAGCAAAATTCTACCGGAAGTATAACGAAGAACTAGTACAATTCTACTGAAACTATTCCAGAAAAGTTGAAGAGAACGTACTCCTTCCTAACTCACGCTGTGAAGCCAGAAGCAGCTTAATACCAAAACCTGGCAGAGACGCAAAAAAAAAGAACATTCAGGTGACCACTGTTGACGAACATAGACTCAAAAATTCTCAACAAAGTACTAGCAAACTGAATCCATCAGCAGCATATCAAAAAATTAATCTACTATGACAATACAGGCTTTATTCCTGGGATGCATGGCTGGTTCAACATATGCAAATCAATAAATGTGATTCACCAGATAAACAGAATTAAATCAAAAACCATATGATCATCTCAACGGATGCCGGAAAAGCTTTCAATTAAATCCAGTGTCCCTTCATGAAAAAACAAAACAAAAAAAAACCCTCAACAGTTGAGGCTTCAAATAAGCATACTTCAAAATAAAAAAGAGCTATCTACAACAAACCCACAGCCAATATAATACTCAATGGGCAAAAGCTGAAAGCATTCTCCTTTAGAAATGAAACAAGCCAAGGACATCCACTCTTACCACTCCTATTCAACATAGTACCAGAAATCCTAGTCAGAGCAATCTTGCAACAGAAAAAGAGAAAAGCACTCAAATAGGAAGTAAAGATTAAGGCAAACTATCTGTCTTCACCCAACAATATCCTTCTATACCTAAAAAACCTTAAAGACTTCAACAAAAGTCTACTAGAAATGATAAAGGATTTTAGCAAGGTTTCAGGATACAAAATCAATGTACAACAATTAGTAGCATTTCTATACAACAACAACATCCAGGTTGAGAGTTAAATTAAGAACACAATCATATTTACAACACCTAGGATGAAAATAAAATCCCTGCAAATACAACTAACCTAAGATGTGAACGATCTCCACAAGGAGAATTACAAAACACAGCTGAAATCTGAAGCTGGATGCAGTGGTTCATGCCTTTGGGAGGCCGAGGCAGGTATATCGCTTGGACCCAGGAGTTTTGAGACCAACCTAGGCAACATAGTGGAACCTCATCTATACAAATTTTTTTTTTTTTTTTAAATAGCGAGGCATGGTGGCACATGCCTGTAGTCCTAACTACCCTGACGGCTTGAGGCCAGGAGTTCAAGCCTGCAGTGAGCTATAATAACTCCACTGCATTCCAGCCTGGGTGAAAGGGTGAGACTCTGTCTCAAAAAAGGAAGGAAATAAGAAAAGGAAGGAAGGATGGAAGGAAGGGAGGAAGGGAGGGAGGGAGGGAAGGAAGGGAGGAAGGGAGGGAGGGAGGGAGGGAAGGAAGGAAGGAAGGAAGGAAGGAAGGAAGGAAGGAAGGAAGGAAGGAAGGAAGGAAGGAGATTTTGATAACACAAATAAATGGAATAACATTCCATGTTTACAGATTAAAAGAATCAATATGTTAAAATGGCCACACTGCCCAAAGCAACTTGTAGATTCAAGGCTATCTCCATGAAACTACCAACATCATTCTTCACAGAATTAGAAAAAACTATTCTAAATTTATATGGAACACCCCCAAAAGCCAGAATGGCCAAAGCAATTCTGAGCAAAAATAATAAAGCCAGAGAGGCGTCATACTACCCAATTTCCAGCTATACTATAAGTGTACACTAACCATGATACTGTTACAAAAGCAGACACTTAAGCCAATGGAACAGAATAGAACACTCAAAAATAAAGCTGCACACTTACCACCATCTGGATCGTGGACAAGGCCAACAAAAACAAACAATGGGGAAAAGGCACCCTATTCAATAAATGGTGCTGGGATAATTCGCTAGCCATAAGCAGAAGAGTGAAACTGGATGCTTACCTTCCACCATACACACAAATTAATTCAAGATGGATTAAAGGTTAAAATGTAAGACTTCAGATTATGAAAACTCTAAAACAAAACCTAGGAAATATTTTTCTCGACATTGGCCTTGGCAAATAATTTTTGGCTAAGTTTCTAAAAACAATTGCAACAAAAACGAAATTGACAAGTGAAAGTCAATCAAACTAAAAAGCTTCTGCACAGCAATAGAAACTATCCACAGAGTAAACAGACAACTTACAGAATGGGAGAAAATATTTGCAAACTATGCATCTGATAAAGATCTAATATAACAAATCCATAAGGAAGAAAAAATGACAAGCATAAAACAACCCCAGTTAAAAAGGGCAAAGCTAATACAGGAGCAGAAAATCAAACTCCGCATCTTCTCACTTATAAGTGGGAGCTGAACAATGGGAACACATGGACACAGGGAGGGGAACAACACACAATGGGGAACAACACACAACACACACTATAATTTTCTGTAGGGGGTTGAGGAGAGGGAGAGCATCAGGAAAAATAGCTAATGCATGCTGGGCTTAATACCTAGGTGATGGGTTGATAGGTGCAGCAAACCACCACCACACACGTTTATCTATGTAACAAAACTGCGCTTCCTGCACATGTACCCCAGAACTTAAAATTTAAATCAAGAAAAGGCAAAGGACATGAACAGATATTTTCTCAAAAGAAGACACTCAAGTATATGAAAAAACACTCATCCTTACTAATCATCAAATAAATAAATGCAAGCAAAAACCACAGTAAGATGCCATCTCACATCAGTCACAACAGCTATAATTAAAAAGTAAAAAAATTAGATGTTGGCCAGGCTGCAGAGTAAAGGGAATGCTTATACACTACTGTTGATGGAAATGTAAACTGGTTCAGGTACTGTGGAAAGTATTTTGGAGATTTCTCTAAGAACTTAAAACAGAGATACCCTTCGACCCAGCATTCCCATTACTGGGTATATATTCAAAGGAAAATAAATTATTCTACCAGAAAAATATACATGCACTCGTACGTTCATCAGCATGTTATTCACAATAGCACAGACATGGAATGAACCTAGGTGCCCATCAAAGGTGGATTGGATAAAGAAAATGTGGTACATATACACTATGGAATACTATGCCTCCATAAAAAAGAATGAAATTATGTCCTTTGCAGCAATATGGATGGAGCTAAGGACATAATCCTAAGCAAATTAGTGCTGGAAAAGAAAACCAGATACCACACATTCTCACTTATAAGTGGAACCTAAACACTGAGCACACAGGAACATTAACATGGGAACAAGACATGCTGCAGGCTACGGGGGTGGGGGAAAGAGGGGAGCATGGGCTGAATAACTACCTACTGGGTACTATGCTCACTACCAGGGTGCACTGTACAAAAGTAACAAATCTGCATATGCACTATCTGTGTCTGAAAAAAACTGAAATTATAAAAACCAAGAGAATATGTTTCTAATGAACGTAGACTTTATTTGATGGACTGGATTAGAATATAATTTTTTTTAAGGGGAAAGGCATTGGGGGATGCACAATGTCTACAGGTTTCTAAACCTCTCTGGTTTCTCACCTAATTCATAGTCTCTTATGTCATTTTCATAGTTTTCATATTCTGCCTTTCCACCTCTTCTTTTTAACAAGTAAAATTCCTCATAGCATACAAAAAAACAATTTTATAAAAAACCCATATTATAGATCAGGGACCTGTGGATTATATGCTATTAGAACTATACAAAATGTCTCTATATAGTTTTCTGTATCTTTGGAATATCTTTGGGTGAAGCTGCAGACCTTCTCGGTGAGTGTTACAGCTCTGCGCAGAGCCAAACAGTGAGCAGCAGCAAGACTGCAAAGAGCAAAAGAACAAAGCCTCCACACTGTGGAAAGGGACCCTAGCACGTTGCTGTTGCTGGCTCTGGCAGCTGCTTTTATTCCCTTATCTCACCCCACCCACATCCTGATGATCGGTCCATTTCATAGAGAGCTGATGGGTTCATTTTACAGAGAGCTGCTTGGTCTGTTTACAATCCTTTAGCTAGACACAAAAGTTCTCCAAGTCCCCACCAGATTAGCTAGACACAGAGCACTGATTAGTGCGTTCACATACCTTGAGCTAGACACAGCATGCTGATTGGTGCATTTACAATCCTCCAGCTAGACGTAGTAAGTTCTCCAAGTACCCACCGGACTCAGGAGCCCAGCTGGCTTTGCCTAGTGCATCCCGGCCGCGGGCGGAGCTGCCCGCCAGTCTCTGGCGCGCTGCCGCACTCCTCAGCCGTTGGGCGGTTGACGGGACCGGGTGCCGCGTAGCAGGAGGTGGCGCCCGTCCCCTCGGGGTGGCGCGCGGGAGCCTGCGGTTGGGGGGCGGGGGGCGGGGGGCGGGGGGCAGGGGACGGGGGCGGGGAGGAGGGTGAGGGCTCCAGCATGGCAGGCTGCAGGTCCCGAGCCCTGCCCCCTTGCCCCGCGGGGAGGTGGCTGAGGCCCAGCGAAAATTCGAGCGCGGCGCCGGCGGGCCATCACTGTTGGAGGACCCAGTGCACCCTCCGCAGCTGCTGGCCCGGGTGCTAAGCCTCTCACTGCCCAGGGCCGGCGGCGCCAGCCGACCGCTCAAGAGTGCGGGGCGCGCCGAGCCCGCGCCCACCCGGAAGTCGCGCTGAGCCCGCGCCCACCCGGAAGTCGCGCTGGACCTGCGAGCACCGCAGGCAGCCCAGGTTCCGGCCCGCGCCTCTCCCTCCACACCTCCCCGCCAGCAGAGGGAGCCCGCTCAGGCCTCAGCCAGCACAGAGAGGGGCTCCCACGGTGCAGCTGCGGGCTGAAGGGCTCCTCAAGCGCGGCCAGAGTGGGCTGAGGCCGAGGAGGCGCCGAGAGCCAGCGAGGGATGCCAGCAAGCTGTCACCTCTCAGAAATACAGGAAGAACATCAATAATGTTCGAAGTTATAAAGTAGTAGGTTTCTATCAAGAGTAAAACATAAACGAAGTTATAAAGTAGTAGGTTTCTATCAAGAATAAAACATAAACGATCAAAGAATTCCTTATAAAAACATTTTTTATTTCTAGGAATCAAAACATAAATATAAAATTTGAGAGTCCACCAAAAAAAATTAGATGCCAGATTTCACTATAATTATCAGGGAAGCGCCCAAATGGGTTGTTTACGGCGCCTCGGGGAAACTTTCTGTTTCGTGTTAAGGGTCTTGAACCATGATGTTTAGAAAACCATGGGCTGATGCTTTCAGAACCTCTGTGATTTTTGCCTCTGACACTGCATCCAATAGACTAGCATGTTGATTAGGGAAAGCTAAATTCAATAAAAGACGACTGTAAGTGGGGTCACCACCTTGAGGGGTCATGTTAGAAAAGTAGATGATAAGGTGGTATTGATAGAGTATTGAAGTCTGGGCTCAAATGGTTGCCCGGGGCCTTTCAAGACCAATGACTGATAAGAATAGGTAATGTTCAGGACATAGAGTTTAGGATTGGGGGACACTGTGAGTTAAGGGCCATGACAGAAGTCTTCATAAGTAAACTGTTAATTGACACAAGCTGCTACCTGCCCAGGTGAGCAATCTGTTGGCCCAGAGGAGAGTTGCTTATTGACATAAATTGATTTGCAGAAATTTCCTGAAGCAAACAATAAGTTATTTATTGGTTTGCAGCCTTACTTTCCTGAAAAATAATTTTCTGGAATGAATTGTGAAATCATGTTGACACAGATGGCCTCAGGTTTCAGTTCGGATAATTAAGCTGTGTAAATATAGAAAGTCGAAGGTTTCTGGGTGCTGTTGATTCACAGTATGCAACAATGATCATATTACTTTTATTTACTATGAGCTTCAGCTGAAAATCCAAAAGAAACTTTAATTTCAGATATTTAATGAAATCATTATAGCTGTGGTAATTTCCTTTAGCTGGGTGTGAGTGTGTGATGTGAGCGTGTGATGTGTGTGTGTGTGTGTGTGTGTGTACTCTGGCAGCATATTCCAAATAATTTCTGTAAAATTTCAGTTTGAAATTAATAGAAGACATATTAAATTGTTTAAACTCTTTGTTATTTAAATTCTATATTACTTTAGTCGATTACTCTGTATTATTACGGCAAAGCTTTGATATGTTGCCCTGAATTTAAATGAAAAGGCTGTTCGGCCTAAAAACAGGAATATTTTATTACCAAAAAGAATTAACTACCATATGTCATTTACAGAAAAGAGTAAATTCTTCAGGGCATAGAAAATACACATTTCCTTCTGTTTGTGTGGAAATAAGCAAAATACCTGTTATAATAGATTCCTCACAGAATTTTGTGAAGCTTCAGGTAAACTTGAAAGAGAAAAATTAAAATGCTAGAGTTTCATAATTACAAATTGGGATATAAAAATAGAATAATTATTTGAATTTTGTATTTCTCTCCAGGGGATCAAAAGTAATATATAAACTTTTAATAAATATTGATATAGCTTCACGTTGACTCCATATGTGAGCAATTTGCTTTCTGTTAAATTCACAATTGCATAATTTTTTTCAGGCTGGAATGCACTTGGATGCCAGAGATTTTGATTTCTTCATGTGACATAAGATGATAATACATTCCAAAGTATATATTTTTTCAACTTTGAATATATCTGGTGTATTTGGAGTAATATCTGAGTAAATACACTTATATGTAAGAGAATCAAAGGAACAAGATATTATTTTATATCCAAGGAAATTAACACTTAGAACATAAATACGTATTGCATTACTTCATATTAAAGAAATGTTTTACAAAAGAAAATAAAGGAGCTTATTTTATAGCCCCATTTCCACAAATAATAGCAAAGGTACATACACATATCTAATGTTTTACACACTCATTATTGTTTCTCTTAAAATTTGTTGCTTATACTATTTTAAAAGGCAAGCCTATAGATTGTTGTGTGTATATACATATACACACAACATACATATGTGTGTGTGTGTGTGTGTGTGTGTGTGTGTGTATATATATATATCAGCAAGCAAGAGAATGGGCCTCTTCCTACTGAGGTTTAACATTTGCATGTATATGTATATTTTGATTCACATAGACTTATTGTTCTTTAATTACATGAACAGTGATTCCTGGTTACATTATTGGAAAATGGAAGCAATGCTCAAAGAGCATCACCTAAATTTCCATCATATTTTGCTCTCAATATGTTTTGTACATCCAAATATATTGTGATTAATCTGCATACATTTTTGCTGTTCTAGGTGACGCTGGTATGAGGCTAGGTAATACACGACCTTAGTCTGCATGTTGTACTTGTGTAACACACATAATTTTACAGTGCTAACAGGTGCTATAATAACTAACTATAGTTAATGATGAATGAAAGAAGGAAGATGTTAAGATGTTAGGGAAGGACTCAAAAGATGCAGTGCTTGAGTTAGAATTTTAAGGGAGATTGTGCAAAAGCAGTCACTTAAGGTGGGTCGGGATGATCTAGAATGTGGGAATGATGTATGCAAAGTCACACAGGAGAGATACAGCATGCATGTTTAGAAAATTGTTGATTACATATGGAAAGTTTGCAGGACTTGCATCCTAGAATGTCAGGATTTTAAGCTAAGTAGGGTTCAAATTAAATTTTTCACATACTTCGCTGCATTATAATAACTAGTTTATGTTTAACTCATCCACTAAACTAAGTTATTTGAAAAGAGATGCCAGTGTTCACTCAATCTAGTTGTCTGTCATTAATAATTTAAAAATAATTGAGATTTTAATTTTGGTCTGCTAAGCCTGTTTAATTAAAATTTGACATTAAATAAGATTTTACAGGCCTCATTTTTTTTTTTCAGTCATCACAGTTTGAATATTAAACATTACTACTTTTATCTCCCTCAGTCAGCATAAAACATACTACTTATGGTTTTAATAACCAAATTCAATGAGCACCAACAAAATTTGATGTAACTATTAACTTTGAAATTTTGTTGAAATAGAACTATGCCTTGGGTATCATTCAAAGCATTTAATTGTTGCAATAAAAAACTTTGAGATAAATTGAAATGATGGACAATATGGGTCGAAAGCAACACTGGCTTGAGGGAATAGGCTAATGTTTGAGAACAGAATTGTTAAGGACAAGATTGGATGTTTATATTACTTTAGGAAAGACACACTCTAATGGAGTTTAATTCTAAAATGTTTAATATTATGAAAATATTATATGTTATATGATCATTATAGAAAATTAAAAATATAAGAACATCAGAAGCAAAATAGTCAAAGTCTACCTAAACCCAATTAGAAGTGAATACTATTAATCTTGATTTGCATGTTTCTAATCTTATTATTATCAAATTAATAAACAGCTTTCAGATATTCTGCTTCTCCCTGTTACTAGATCAGGATAATGTCATTTATGTACAGGCATCTCCTGCTTACTCAGTTCAGCATTGATCAATAAATATTTTAGACTTCTATTCAAAACACTTCCATTTTTCTTTTGCCCATATTCTTTTTATTCAGTGCTGCCTGTTTTCAAATACACAACACTTTGTCAAACAAATTCCAACATTAGATTGGATATAGTTGGTATCAGAGTAGTAATACACATTGCCATTCCTAATCCTCAGTGCATTGATCCTGAAAATTATTTGTAAGAATAGAAAAATACTGGATATTTCAAATTAAGTCTCATTTTGTTGCTTACCCATGAAAGACTGGAATTAACCAACATAACCATTACAAGGTGATTGAGCAAATGAATAGATGGAAAATATTATAGAAACTTTACTGCAGTTCATCAACCATTGTGGTCATTAGGCCATAGGAAAATACAGTGTGACAGTACCCCTGTCTTCTTTTCCATTTGTTAAGTCTCATATCCAAGTAACAGTGGGTAGACCTTATGAGAACCCAAAGTGAGATAAAAATAATTTTTGGCTTTTCAATGTATCTTATTTGATCTAAGAGGTATTTCCCCGACTTTGATGCAATAATTCTTGTCACAAAATTTGACTTTACTGAAGACCGTTTTAAGGATCTTTGCAGCTGACAGCAGTGACTTTTTTACCTCCTACAAAGTTTCAACTGACAGTCTTATTGTCTCTGACTTTCCCAAATTAATGACATAATTAGTCACCAGGGCTTTGGCTGCTCAATAGGGATTTAGTAAGCAATGAGTCATATGTTGGGGAACACTTCAACAAACAAAATGTTGGCAGAGAAAGATGTATGAATCAGCTAGGAAGAAACACTATTCTATCACTGAGGATCTTTCTAATATTAGATATCACAGAAAAATTTTCATATAGATTACCATATGAGTGAGCCAAAACCTCTAGGAACAAAAAAGCTTAGTATAATTATAACTCCTTGCCATGATTTAACTTAAAATTTCTTTACTTATTTAGCAATTCTATAAACAAGAATCATTTCTGTTAAGGATACTAAGGAGAGTGTTCCTATTGAATCAGAACATTTAAAAGAAATAATTGAGGGAACTCACACATGTAAAACGTCATTAACCAAACTAAAATAAAATGTGAGGGCATAAACTTAACCAGAAATGTTTAAAACCTATATATAAAAAAAACTAGAAAACACTTCTGAATGGCACAAATTTGGACTTGAGCACGGGGAAAGAAATTCCATGCTCTTGAAAAAGCCTTAAAATCATAAATGTGCCAGTTCTTTAAATAAACTTATATCTTCTGTGTCATAACAAAACGACATTTTCTAGAATTTCTTTTTCCAGATTTAGAAAAATAGACAAATTTACTTGGAGGAATAAAGAAGCAAGAATAGCTAGAAATATCCTATAAAATCAATGGAATTTGGAGTCAATACAAAATATTAAGCAATTCTTAAAGCTTCTATGATTAAAATGAGTTATAACTACAGATAGATGAAGATCATATAGAAAATCAAGACATTGACAGATATGGAAAGGTGGTATATAATGAAAACATTTCAGATCAATGAGGGGGAAATGTTAACCGGAAAAGAATATTAAAAAGGCAATGAACTCAATAAGACAACAAGAAGCAAACCACAGAAAAATAACTGGACTGGATTAGAAAGAAAATATTTTAGACACTTCAAAAATAAAATATTCAAATAACCAATGAACTTATTAAAAGGTTTTTATTTATATTGGTTACCTGAAAAAATAATTCAAACCACAATGAGATGTAAGTACTTGTCATTCAGAATCCTGAATTTGAAAGGAATATTTTAGAATTCTAAGTTGAAGAGAAAGTGCAAAGTATTGATGAGAATGTTGACTAATTAGAACACTCAAATTGATGTTATTGGCATAACTTAGTTCAAATAATTTGGATAAAGATATGTATTAGGCCCCAAAATTCTACTTGTAAAGATGGTTTCTCCAGAAATGCATGCATATATATAGCTAAAAAAAATGTGTACTCATGAAAACACTTTTCAGAATAACACCAAAATAACCCCAAACTGTGGCCCAAAAGTGGACTAAAATACTTATAAAGAGTACAGTAAACAAATAAGTTGTAATATGATCACCTAATAAAATATTAGAGAAATAAATATAAATAGTTTCATTTGCAGGTCATATAGTCAATTCGTCTCACAAATATAATATTAAGCAAAAAAATGTGGTTCAAAACACTACACACACTATTTGATTCCTTACTGGTAAAAGTTAGAATAGTGTTATGTTAGGAGGGATGGGTGGAAATCAGGTGTGTGACTATTACATTTTCTTATTCTGGATGATCATAGTATTTTAAAACTCACTAAGCTTTAAACTTATGTGCATTTACCCATGTGTATACAATACTTTAATAGAAGCTTCAAATCAATGAGAAAACATGAAACTGTCTGATGGAAAAATAGCTTGAGGAAATGAACAGGTATAGCAGAAAAGAAGGGCTGCATATAGTTTAAAAACTTGAAGAGATGTTTAATCTCTTTGCAAATAGAAAAACATACGCATTTAAATTGAAATACCATTTTCATGTTCCAAAATTAAAATTATTAGAAATATGATGGTATACAGTGATGGTAATATGGGAGAAAGGAAACATCCTAGGCAATTTGGCTAAGCTTTTCTGAGAAAGATTTAGGCAATATGCCATTAAAAGATTTAATGTGAACAAATGGGAAATTTGCCCACATAAATAAATGGAAAGATACTCTATTTTTCCTAATTTAATCTGAAAATACCTAAGCCCCTGATATTTTAGAGACATAATTTTCACTGCGATGGTTATAATTTTAAAAGGTTGCATCATCCATTTTTAGTTAACATATATTGTACTAACATCACATATCTATGTAACAGAAAAATAGAGTCAACTCATGTAGGGACAGACATGAAAATGACAAATACATATAGAGATAGAAAGGTATCTTGTGCATTATACTGAGAAAGACAATAGAAATAAACAATTTACATGGGTTGATTTATTTTGATTAAGATATATAAGTGGTTAGATAAATGTTAAATAGGTCAGTATGTAATTACAGAAAATGACAAATTGTTATGTATGGTACATTTGTAGGCATAACACAGACATTACATTTTGGAAAATTGTGTTCTATGCAACAGTGCCAAGTCTAATGAAAGTAAGAGGAAGAGGAATTCAGCCAAAGTACCAACCCCTGTTATCCATTCCTTAAGAAAGGAACTTCTTTATACACTCAAAAGAGGGGATTCTTTTTAAATTTGTTTCCAGAGGGGCATCTGCATACACATACACACACACACACACACACACACACACATTTACATTATATTTAAATGTGTGTGCATGATATATATATATACATGTATTTATTTATTTAATATATATGTGTTATCTGGGTCCTATATAGGAACACACACACACACACACATTTTGAATCAAACACTCTTTCGTATAATTTTGGTGACAAATGTATGCAATAAATGAGAATACTTTAACTTTCCAAAAAGCTATTCAAAAGTATAATTTTCAAATAAAATATATGTTTGTATGACAACAAATGATTTTTTACAAATAATATATTCTGCATTATCAATCTGCCACTGGTTTTTATTAAATAAAAAAACCTGTAAGTTTGTATGCTCTTAAAATACATATAACATTTGTAAGAATAGTTTTTATGTAAAAATAATTATAGTTCACTATAACTATGTTAAAAATAGACATAGCCAGGCAAGTCGCTCATGCCTGTAACCCAGCACTTTGGTAGGCTGAGGCGGGCAGATCACTTGAGGCCAGGAGTTCAAGACCAGTCTGGCCAACATAGCGAAACCCCATCTCTAATAAAAATACAAAAATTAGCCGGGCATGGTGGCCCATACCTTGTAATGCCAGCTACTCAGGAAGCTGTGGCAGGAAGATTGCTGGAACCCGAGAGGCGGAGTCTGCAGTGAGACAAGATCATGCCACTGCACTCCAACCTGGGTAACAGAGTGAGACTCTGTCTCAAAAAAAAAAAAAAAAAGAAAAGAAAAGAAAAGAGAAAAATAGACACAGATGAAGGGTGTCTTTGATTATGCAAATAGATTACCCATCTTGTACTCACTGTGTTTATTTCAATAAATGATCCACAGAATATGCTACTTTTGATTTATAGTTTTCTTCTCCTTCACCGCTGTGGACTGGGAAAATATTTCTTATTATTTCTGCTGCAGAGTAGCAAAAAATTATGAGCCAGAAGGAAGACCACTACAACAAGCAAAATCTCTGAGTAATCATAAAATGAAGAACTATTTCCTGTTGGGATTCACTGTGACGAATTTGATTTTAAATTCTTGATGTTGGCATTTTATTTTTAAAACTTAGCTTTCTTGCCTATTCTGAAATTGTCAAAAATTCAGAAAAACAATCATGATCATTTGCTTGCTGACCAGTGGAGACCTACTGATTTTTAGGCTGTGAGACTACAGTAATAAATAAATAAAAAAGTTCATACTTCCTTCTATCGAGGGAAATTGAGCATTTTTCTCATAGTCCTAAATCACCAGATCAAGGGATATATGTAATACTTGAGTGTTGACATTTTATTAATTTTTATATTTAACTAGAGCTGTAAAGTTGAAACAAATGGGTCAATGCAGTAGCCCATAAAATATTTTAAAAACACATAAAAGAAATATCACTAAAATTTAAACATAAAAAAAATACAAAAAAACCCTGAGCTATAGGAAGGGAAGTATCCTCTAAATGCCCAAGTTGAAGGTAGTCCTCTTAGAAAGGCACAGTAAGAAGCAGTGTTTGATGGGAACGTGATTTTTCAAGTATTTGAATTTTCAAACTCACCACATTAACTGAGTAAAATGAAAAAAATATATAAACTTCCTCTGAGGCAGAAAAAACATTTGGCATTTTCAAGATAGAATTATAATAAAAATATCTCGCCCCAATAGAATACAAAGAAGCATCCTTAAGCAAATAGAAGGCATCTACGGAAATATCACACTGAAGTTTGAACTAATAAATTATTCATTTAAGATCCAGAAGAAGACAAAGTGTCCTCTTTCACTATTGTTCTCTCTACTGTATGGGAGGAATTAACCAGTGAGACAAATCAAATAAATAAGTAAAACATACACAGTTAAGAAATGAAAAATACAATTCTAAATTTTTAAACAACTCCATTACCTACACATAAACTTCTAGTGACTGTAAAAATCAGCTGCTGGAATAAACTAGTAATTTTAGCCACATCATAGAAAAAATAAGTCAACCCATTAACTTATTTCTATATATTTCCAATGAGCAATTAATGATAAAAATCAAATCCATGTAAAATACTAATAAAAATAAAATATGTATATATGATTTTAACAAATTACATGCAAGATCTCTCTAAATAGGAAACTAGCAAAAGTGTTGGGAGATGTAGGAAAGTTCTAAATAAATGGAGTCGCATACAATAATTGATGGTTTTGATGTGTGTCCCTGCCCAAATCTGGTATGATGTAATCTCCAATGTTAGAGGTGAGGCCTGATGGGAGGTGATTGGATCATGGGGTGGATTTCTCATGAGTGGTTCAGCATCATCCCTCTTGATACTGTTCTCATAATAGTGAGTGAGTGAGTTCTCATGAGATCTGGTCATTTAAAAGTGTGTAGCAGCTTCCCCTTTCACTCTCTTGCTGTTCTGGCCATGTGACGTGCCTGTCCCCCTTTGCTTTCTGCCATGATTGTGCGTTTCCTGAGTCTTCCCAGAAGCTAAGTAGATGCCAGCATCATCCTTCCTGTATAGCCTGCAGAACAGTGGGGCAATTAAACCTCTTTTCTTCATAAATTGTCGAATCTTCTGTATTTCTCTATAGCAATGCCGGAACAAACTAATACAATAATCATGGCTTGAAAGTTCAGTGAATTTTAGTGTGTAAAAGGTTTTGGTTTTTCCAAATTAATCATTCTAGAAATCCTCACCATAATCACAAAAGATATTTTTATATAAATTGACACACTGATTTAAAAATGTACATCAAGAGAGCAAAAACAAATGATAGAAAGCTGAAAAAAAAGTTGGAATACTCACACTTCCTAACACCATGCAATAACTTAAAGCTATAGTCATCGAGAGAATGTGTTATTAGTAGATGGATAAACAATTAGAGTAATGGAATGGAATAGAGTTCACAAATAGATCCATGCTTATATGAATAATATAATATCAAAGATACTGCAGTTATTCAAAGGGGAAAGATAATTTTATTTAACAAAGTGTGCAGAACTACGAGATAAATGTGAAGAAAACAAACCTCAAGTCCTTCCTCACAACAAAAGCGTGAATGAGTTCAAAATTAAAGGAGTCCAAAATATATTATGGAACAATGTGTAAAAGTGAAAGCATAGGCTTCAAATATAAAGCACAGAAAATGTCTTAGTAAACTACATGAAAGCACTTCTTTTTATCCAAACTGTGGATACATTTCTTTTTATTCAGAAAGCAATAATTATATAATGATAAACTACAGAAATGTGTAAATATATTTATACTTTAATGTTTATTTTTAATTACACAATTATATATACTATTTATTATGAATAAGAGCAAGAATATATAAATATAATGTACAACAGAAACAAGAGAGCTATAAAAACTAACAGATGCTACACAAAAATGATATAATAGCAAATAAGCAAATGAAAAATTTCTTAATATCGTTAGTAATAAAAAATAAAATGAGATAATTATACACATCTACTAGAAAAGCTACTATTTTAAAAATTGTGTTACCAATATTTGGCATAGATGTCAAGAAACCAGACTCTAGAGTTTGCATACATCGACGGTGGGAGTGTAACACAGTACAGCTACTTTGGATAACTAAATCTACCTTACATGTACCAATTCTACCCCTAGGCATTTATCCTAGGGGGGAGAAAAGCATAAGTCTGTAAAAAGGCTTGCACAAGTACCTTTATTCATTATTGTCAAAAACAGACACCATGCAACTGTCCACCAAGAGCGGCGTTCTCAAGTTCAGCACTATTAGCTGTTGAAGTGGCTTAATTCTTTGTTGTGGGGAGCTATCCTTTGTGGAACCCTGGCCTGTGGACACTCTATCCCCTCCTCCACAAACCTCTGATAACCAAAAGTGTCCCCAAACATTGGAAATGTCCCCGGCAGGTAAAATGTCCCTCATTTGAGAACCTCTGGTCAAGAGTTTAGTAAATAAATTATAGTGGTATGTCTATGAAATGAAATAATACGTAACAATAAAAAAAGGTGCTACTTCAACATGCAAGAAATTGTTGAATCTCAAAAATATTATGCTTAAGGAAAAAAGACAAAAAGAATTCATACTCTATAATTCTACTGATATATAATTGTAGAAAATAAAAGCTAATATATGGTAATAAAACCAGATTAGTACTGGATTGACAATGTGTTGAAAGTCAAAAGAAGAGGCTTGAGATCTCTTTCTAGTGTGATGGTTTTACAAGTATATACGTATGTTAATGTTTAAAAATTTCACACCTCAAAAATGTGCAGTATACCAGATGTTAATTATATCTCATAAAGCTATTAAAATTTTATCTCAAAATTATAGCTTTATTGCATTTAGGGCATTATCCAATTTTGAATCTAGTCCAGTTATCATAGCTTAATGCAGTATTATGAAAATAATGCCTATAAAGGTCCAGTTCCTCAAACACCCTTGGAACCAATTTTGTCATCTATATTAGTTACCTTGGGCTGCTATAATGAAGTACCACAAGCTGTGTGTCTTTAAGCAACAGAAATTTCTTCCCTCACAGTTGCGGAGGTCAGAGGTCAGAAAACAAGGTGTCTGCAGGACCAACCTCTCCTCTGGATGCTCTAGGTGAGAATCTTTTCCATGCCTTTCTCTTAGCTTCTGATGTTGCCGTCAGAACTTCAGATGGTGTTCCTTGGCTTCTGTCAATATTAATACATAAATCCTTTTCAGTCTCAGCTTCTCTCTTCACATGGTCCTCTCCACATCCTATCTGTTTCTGTTCCCTCTTCTTATAAAGACAACCCATGTTATTTTAAGTCCCACCTACAGAGATAATTTTAGCTTGATTACATCTGCAAAAACTTTGTGTCCAAATGAGGTTTCATTTACCTTATGTGTATAACTAGGGGTTAGGGCTTGAACATACGGGTTTGGGGAGGGGAACACAGTTCAGACCATGACACTCATTGTTTCACTCATTAATGAGTTAAGGGTGCTTTGATATTATTACATTTGAATGAGAGTGGTCTTTAAAATTACATTTTGTCGTGTAGTTTGTTCCACCCTGATGCTTAAAGGGAGTCACCTGCCTCAGCCAATTAAACTGTGTTGTCTCTGCAGTGCGTTTTATCACAAGAACATGACCTTTAAGCACAAGAACACCTTGTACTCCACCACTAAAAACAGAAATGACATCTACCTTCACTGCTTCCCTATTTCTCTCCATCTTTACTGACTTGGTATTTTGTTGTTGCTGTCATTTCTGGTTGTTGGTCAATTTTCATTTCTGTTCTTATTTTGCTGATAATTCTTATAAATCAGTGCTGAATTTTGTCAAATTATTTTTCTGCATCTCTACAGATGATCATTTTATGTTTTCGTCCCTGTGATAATTTAGTGAATGTCATTGATCAATTTTTAAATAATGAATATCTTTGCATTTAAGATAATATTTTTCACTATTAATGTTATCTCTGAAATGAAAGCTAAACCTAGTCAATAGATATTAGAGGTGCATGATTTTTAAAATTGTATAAAATTAGATAAAAAATACAAAGAAATATATATAATTTTAAAACTATGTAAAAATGTAAATGCCAAATGATAGAGCACTAAATGAAGCTTGTAATATTAAATACAATCTTTAGAAACTCTTTTGCAGTGCAGGAAAAAAATAGAACTGAAAACAAAGCAGAAGAAATCACAGATATAAAATTAAAGAGGATAGAATTAAGCACCGGAGTTCCCACATCTAAAGTGAAAATCTAAGAATTTAAATATCATTCAAATGCAGACTAAAATACAATATAAAATAAAATTTCCTGAGCTAATTTTTAAAATACTGCTTAATTTGTAGGTAAAAATGCAGACTAATTTTCTGACTATATTACTATAAAAACCTTCTACAAATATTTTTTAACTAAAATTATAAGAAAAACATCCGCCATAAACACGTAAGATTAGTATTTTCGTTTCTGAAGTATAAAATGTCTGGATAGACTTGAGCTTGTTGCTTTAGTTTTATATGTGAAGACTGGAAAAATTCTGTTTTGTTTTGAAAAATATTTTGAGCTAAAAATGTTGTATTCCACATTTGTTAGGAATGGAAGTCTTTAAAATATGAAATATTTCCAATTGAAGAAAAATAGTGAAAATGAACTTTATCTGAATAAGATTAATGAAAATTACATGTTGAAAAAGTAAAATAGTTATGTGTACTAACAGTGACTACTAACCCAACAATATAAAATTAAGTAAAAATATTATTACCATGTTAAATACAAATTAAAATTAATTATAAAAAAGTTAAGATCTATGATTAAAGTATTAAAATAAAATGAGACTGTATTCACAAATCTAAAAGCAAATTGGTGAATGACATATTTTTTGAAATAATAAATTCTTTGGCATATTTTATATTTTTTATTATAAATGAAAATTATTTATTTGAAATATTTAAAGGAACAAAATATTTGCAGCTCTATTTTATTGAGAAAGGAATTACAAAACAAAAACAAGGAGCTTTTGTAATTACAAAAGAATATATTAATAATATTATTTAGAAGCACAAAACCAGAAAAGCTTTATATTATTTCTAACAATAAATGTAAACCATCTAATTTTCTGAAAAGGGGTGGAAATAAATATTTAACAAAGAAGATGTTATTCTTAAATTGTAATATGTACATTGCCTAAAAATAAAAAGGTAGTTGAAGATATATTGTGAACAACAAAAAATGAAGAGCTGATAATATTAATGTGCGAAGGAAACTCATAACATATTGTACTAATTATAAATCAGTGTATTGACAAAACCTGAGTCCTCAATTATTATTGACTGTCATTGACATGTTAATGATAGAATATTAAATATAGAATATAATAAAGCAATTTAGAATAAAAAAGAGAAAGCGATAGACATGAATAGAAACAAAATGCAACTGTTCAATATTAAAAGCCTTTCTAAATTGCTTGTGTTTTTCTAGTGACCTGTTTCGCTATGCAGTGTAGGCTCAGGTGTCTAGATTTTAGTTGCAGATAAACACAGGTAGTGTTTTCCAGATCTCAGAATGACCAGTTACATAAAAATAGGCCATAAACCATATATTTCATTCTTACGGTTGACAAACCTCTAATTCACCTGAAAATATTAAAAAGAAAGAAGACAGACGTGACAGTGGTTGGAAGTTGAGGATAAGAAGAAGTTGGCAGAAATAAGCTTTCTTCTTTTGGACAGCAATGCATGATAAAAAAAATTAAACTAAATTCAGTTCATTTCCACTAACTGGGACTTATTTAGAAACTTTAAGAAAGTCTGAAGAATTTCAATTGAGGAGTAAATAAGGGCCAATTTATTTCATAGTGTGGACTCTCAAGACAATATACAACAGTGCTTCTCAAAGTTAAACAGTGTATGAGTGACCTGGAAATGAAGATGCAGATTTAATAGGGCTGGAGAGAAGTCTGAGATTCTCAATTTCTAATGAATTAAATTACAAAGAGGAGAAAATAAGGTTATTGCTTACTTTATATACATTCACAAACACAGGCTAATCAAATAATTGTTTAAAGTATTGCTCTGATAAGAATTAAATTACATAGTTCATAGGAAACATTTTCTTTACATTCGGATTTTATCTATTATTAGAATAATAATAGAATCTTGACTTTATGTAACTCTATGTTCCAAACAACTAGAAACTTTTCGATAGCAATTGTTCACCATTTAATAACATTTTTCCAAGATACCTAATGCACTCAAGGACAAAATAGCTGCCTTCCAGTGATTTCCAATTTATTCAATTTTCAGGCCATCTGTCTGCCCACACAATGACAGATTATAGTTACATTCTTGCCATGCTCTGAACAGCTAAGCCAATTGTTTTCAATCTTTTTTCTTCAGCAACTCCATCTCTTAAAGTACTTCAGAGTAGTTCCTGAAAGGATTCCTCTTTAGTTAAATGGCTATACAGCTCTCCCATCATCCAAAATAATCAGTGGAGAGATAGCAATATTTTTCATTACATTAGGCCAAGTTCCATTGCTTCCTTCATCTTGTAATCTGATCAGAAACACCACTATAGATTCAATAATTGAGTTTAGAGTTTCAGAGAATTTGGGGTCACAGAACATCTATGTCTATTTTGTAAAGATTATTGCATATTACTGAAATAGCTTGTCAAACACTGCAGTCTGCTTAAAGTATCAAAATAGAAATGTTGAATGCTGTGTCTGCACAGAGTTCATTTAAGCAAAGAATCTACTAGGCTCTTAAGTCTGTTAATGCAAATTCCTGAATACAGCTGACCCTCCATACCCCCATTGTGGGTGGATTTAACTAACCATGAATCAAACATATTTGTTAAAAGAAATACCAAAAATAATTTTTAAAAAGAAATACAACAATAAAACAATGCAAATAAAAAACAATCCTTATAACAATTATGTGCATAGCATTTATATTGTATTCAGTATTATTAATGTAAGTAATCTGGAAATGATAGAAAGTATACAAGAGGGTGTGTGTAAGTTATATGCAAATACTAGGCCATTTTATATAAGAAACTTGAGCATCTCTGGCTTTTGCTATGAAGGGATGATGGTGGTAGGATTGGTGGTGGTCCTGGAACAAATCCCCAGCAGGTACCAAGGGGGACTGTAGACCCCAAAGCTGTTTAGGAATGGGTCACAGCAGCAGGACTGAGGCAGGAATGCTCCCCACAGAAAACATCAACCACCTGTTGATTTTTGAATCTGCTCCTCTCAGGCATGCCTTCAAATGCTATAACCTGGAGATTCAACTCATTTTCATGCTGCTAAGTAGGAATAGGTGATTCAATTCCCCAAGAAAGTGACAGAGGTCCCTGAAATATAGATTTAAAGTTACATAGTGTCAAATGCTAGTCATTTTCTTTTTGCTCGATGGTATCCTCTCAGAAAAACCTTTTATAATATTTCTAATTCATTTACCAGATTTATAGAATCATCAAATTGTCTATCCATGTGTTTTTCAAATATTTTGTGAAGTGTCTAGGGTAACAACCTAGTGTTCGAACGTATTTTGTGAAGTGGCTAGGGTAACAACGTAATGTTCGAACTTATGTTCGTATTTAAATACAAATGTATTTTGGTTGAGTGATTACTCAAGGTCACTGAGGAATCCACAAGGTTAACCTCCTGACTCTAGAACCATTGTTATATAGAGATATATAAATAGCTGATTTAATATTATAGGCTTAGCAAAATATTTAATAAATAAGGTCTTAGTAAAACAACACACATGTATTTATCCACTTATTTAATTTTGTTTTTCCATTTCTTCTGAACATAAGTTCCTGAGGACACGGGCCTTTTTTCACAGTTCATTTTTGGATTCCAACATCTAGCCAGTACTTTGCAAAGAGCACTGAATTTGAAAGAAATTTCTCAGTTAATGATTTGAATCATATAAAATATTTAGTAAATTTGAAAACTAGTAACCGTGTAAAGCGATTAAAACAAACATACTAGAGGGTAATAATCCCCCGCCCCTTGCCTTCTTCCTTTACATCCACTTCATTCCTATTCTTGTCTACTTCCCCTGCCCCACCCAGGGAACGTGGTTAGCCCATCAACTGCAAAGACTGTTCTCATATAATATTGTTCTGATGGATAATGAGACTCTGAAAGTGGAACATAAACAGATAAAACAAAAACAAACAGAAAAGAACCCAAAAACCTAAACTCAACTTCAGTTAAAGCAGAAAATATCTGTCCAGCCTAAACCAGGCATACTCCACAGACTTCTGTTAGACGCCTGATCCTACTTCAGTCTGGAACCACCTAGTCTTCAGGTTTGCCTGGTGCTCACCAGCTGAAGAAATCCTTTAACGACCTTTATTCAGTCAAGTAAATCGTTTTCTTTTGGCAACTTGCATGTTATTTTTTAGGTTTTCATTTATTTATTTTTTTATATTTAAAGTCATATTTTCTTCCTTTTATTCACTTTGCTGGTCTTTCTCACTTTGATTTTTTTTTTTTTTTGCCTTGTTTTGCATTTGTTTACTTTAACATTTTTTGTAACTTATCTCTTTTATTTTGGAAATTATTCACATTATCAGTTTTCTTTTGCTAGGCAATTTTGATATTCTAATAAACATTATTAACATAAAATATAAAGTTTACTAACACCAAGCCCAAACAATACAAAGTCTTAGGGCTCTTTAATTGCAATTATTTAAAAATATTTGCTACAAATTGTTCATTATTTTATATTCATGTTGTTTTTCTTATTCCCACAAATCACATATTGTTGGTGTGTTTGTTAAATAAAATTGTGACTGCTTATATATGTTTTTTCACATCCTTTCTTCTTCTAATATTTTGGAATTTACATCCAGTTAATTATCCTTTATTCTATGGTACATACTGTAAAAGTTACTATTCTTGGTAGTAAACTCTCAGTTTTTGGATTGTCTGAAGATGTCTCTATTTTGATCTGCTCTTGAATTCTAAATCTAATTGACATAAAATTCTAGATTTGCCATTATCATTTATTAGCACTTCAAAGATATTCCACAATTTTCTGACTTTCAATATTTTTGTTGGTAAAAATGGTGATTGTTAATTGGCTTGCATATTCTGTTTTGGATATTCCACTGTTTCCTTATAATTTGTTTATTTATAAGGAAACTTATAAACAAATTATAAGGAAACAATAGAATATCCAAAATAAAGAGAATAGTTATGGGTTCGTATAGATAATTCTTCAGAATCTACTAATTTGTGTCTTTCTTCTTTACTTCTGTAAACTTTTCAGCTACTATATATTAGAATATTTCTTAACTTTTTTATATTCATTCTGAAATTTCTTGCTGAAATTTGTTCAGAAGGTGAGTTAACGGAGCTATACATCTTTAGTGTCATGTGCTCTAAATTGCAAAATACATGTATTTTTATTTCAGACAACTTGAGTAACATTTGTGCAAATGTTTTATATACACGGACTTAATTTGGTAAATTTAGGCATGTGGTAGACAAATTTAAAAATGTATAAAAATCGTGGGCAAGCATATGAACATTCTATTTTTGCTACTATAAAAAAATAGCAGACTATCCAACTATTTTATGATACTCAACGATACATCTTACTAAATGGTCACGACTCTTGCCTCTCAGGGTCAGAGTTTGCAATAGTGAAAGCAAGAGAAAGCCACGGAAAAAAAAACAGGGAGAGGGAAAATATTAAGCTCTAGAATATGTACATTGTTTTGCTTGTATAAATTTAGAACATTCAACACATGTTTACAATGAATACATATAAAATACCAATGACATGAGGAGAATTAGAATAGAAATAAATACAAGGATTCTTTCATGATAACTAAAAATATCAGTGAAGGTTTGTACATAAAATTTAGGGATTTTATATTATTACCTAATACAATTCTGGCTATAACATCACTAAAGGATTGTAAACGTCTGCTGGGAAACCTATGGGAAAAAAATGCAAGTGGAACTGGTGTCATACAAACACATTTTCTAATGGGAAGCTTAACTGGTGAAATGTAAGTTGGAAACATTACTCAATTTAGGTCTATGAAAATGTTTTCCCAAATACAATCTTTTCTTGTTTGATAGGAGGTTTTACTGTGATGTATTATTTCTGACAGCCTCTTTTTTTTTTTTTTAAAGGAAACGAGTAGAATTAAGTGAATTGATTATCATATCTAACCTGTAAGTACAAATTACTTTCCCTTGGAATTACATAATTGATAATTGTACATCCTCAGATGTGTTTGAATCTGAGATTTACTCTAAACTCAGAGAAAAAAAAGTGAAATTTTGTTTCCATTGTGGCACCTTTGTTTCCTTTTTAAGTTTTCAAAATTTCTTAAAAATTATTTTTCCCTTTCATAATTTATTCAACAAGTATCTATTGTTAGGTGTTGGGAACACAAGACCTAAAACTCCTGACAAATATATTCTATTTCTGAGGTCAATTTGTACATTAATAAATGCATATATAATACCAGACAAGATTGTAATGCTAACCAGTTTGACTTTGAGGCACGGTATTCAGAATGTAAATGCCCCTGGAAAAAACATTGAATATAAATGCCCCTGGAGAAAGAATGTAGTTGGAAAAAACATTCTGAGGTAAAATTATGCAATATTGGTATGACTAATTAGAGTGACCAGAGGTTCACACATTTTTGTGACATGCCATTGGTAGAAAAAGAGCCATAGCTGAAAAAATATGGCAGTCATAAGATGTCAGTGGAAATGAAGACAAGGATACCTTTTGGTCAATTTTCTTGAAAATATTGGCTTTTTCAACAGTGTAGTTTATTTAAAATTTAGTCCCAGTTCTTAGCAATTATTTATATACTGATGGACTTATATCCAGGGTCTTCTTGAATTAAAAAAAGTCAAAAAATAATTTTATAAATTTAAAATATTATAAAATTATGATATATACAATTCTTGCTCTCTCTGTCATATTTTTCCAATTTTTTGTCTGTCTTGTTTTTTCTTGCCTTTTCTTCCCTGTCCTTTCCCTTTCGTTTCTTTTCTTTTTGTTTCCTTTGTCTGGCCTTGCTTTGAGTTTCTTTTCCAAACGAATTCACTGGAGGTGGTATTTTTATGCATAATATACACAGCAAATGTCTAGGGCCTCTCATTTTTTACAAATCTTTGTAAGAAAAGGCTATCTATTAACCCAATGACATTGTCATAACCTTTTCTAAATTTCAATGATATTCAGTTTCTCGCAGCTATTACATTACAAAGTATACCTCAGTAAAAATCTAGTAAGTCATAGGGCTGATGTTGCTGATTGCTCACTTGCTCAAGCCAGAAGCTTAGAATACATGCTTGATTCTTCACTTTCCTGTGGGTTTATGCCAAATCAATTTCAAATCTATAGATCTTATCCTCTAAATAACATACAGCATGCCTACTTTTTTCTCTCTCTCGACTACTGTCACATTAATTCAAAAGAAAAAGACTGATGATTCCTAACTTCCTGGCTTCAGTAATTGGCAACGATGACATCACTACTAAGGCTTCACTTCTCACCTCTGCTTCCATATGAGTGTAATGTTATTTTCTCCTATGACAGATAAGTTTATTTTTCACCATTAAAAGGTAAGAAACTCACGCATAACCAAAGTTGGAGGAGACAGTTATTTTTTTTCCCCAGCTTGCCTGTTAAAACCATAAGGAATGATTAATCTGCCATGGTGCTTGATGTGGCCCAGGGATGTGCTCAGACTCAGTCATGTAGGGGCAGGTGGTATTAACATTAGTTCAAACATGGAACCATGGCATGTGTTAGAAATAATGGCTTATATTAGAAACCGGACATAAAATTGTCGTGAGCAAGAAAGTTACCTCAATTTGAGTCTACTAGAAGTTTCAGAGTGCCATTTCACATGGCCACAAAGTTCAAAAGTTCCAAAAGAAGCAAAAGTTTGACCAAGAAATCAGTGATTTTTTAAAAAAGAGAAATTGAGCTCAATCATGTTTTTTATATCTTCTACTGTACTAAAAGTTTTTTTCTCAATAATTGACTAAAAGTTCATTAACTACTGCACAGACTTCAATATTTAGAAATGTAATACGGGCTTGCTAACTAAAAGTGAAGTTATTTTATTGTCGGAACTAGCTATTGTTAGAAAGACTCATTTGCTTTTTATAATACAATTTTACATATGATTTATAGATTTACAGATTATAACAATTTATAGATTATTACCTCATTAATTTATTGAATAACCTGACTAAATTACTTAGTCACTGAATTAAATACAACCCAGCCTTAATACTTTGGGTCAAGGAACATTGACCAAATATGTATTTATGCCACAGATTCCTTGAAATTTCTTACCAAAGTAAATTGTTTCATGAAAAATACAGAAATAAATTGGTAACTAAATAAAACATGTTCTATATTTCAACTTGAAAAATTAAAGAAATTAATAATTCTTAAAATCAAAGCAATGATCATTTGTTTCCTAATTATTATTATTGTGAATGTACTTAAAATTTTTGCTATGCTTTTAAGAAAGATGTACTTCTATTAAAAATTATTAAAATAAACAGCAGAGAGACTGACTTTTCAAAATAGTTTATCTGGGAAGAGCAATGAACTGCAATTTGGGATATGTGTACCGTACTGAACCATAGGCACATTTGAAAAAGCTGGGGGAGCCGAAGCTTTTTTAAGGGTAAAAGGTGAAGTTCCCCATCAAACTACCGTTGGCATTCTTCACAGAATTAGAAAAACCTATTTGAAATTTCATATGGAATCAAAGAAGACCCCATATAGCCAAGACAATCCTAAGCATAAAGAACAAAACTGGAGGCATCACACTACCTGACTTCATTACTGCAGGGCCTCAGTAACCAAAACAGCATGGAACTGGTACCAAAACAGACATATAGACCAATGAAGGTGAACATAGACCTCAGAAATACACCACACGTCTACAACCACCTGATCTTCAACAAACCTGACAAAAACAAGCAATGGGAAAGGATCTCATATTCAGTAATAATGTGGGAAATCTGGCTAGCCATATGCAGGAAACTGAAACTGGACCCCTTCCTTACACCTTATACAAAAATTAACTCAAGATGGATTAAAGACTTAAATGTAAAACCCCAAACCGTAAAAACCCTAGAAGAAAACCTAGGCAACAACATTCAGGACATAGGCAGGGTGGGCAAAGACTTCATGACAAAAATGCCAAAAGCAATTGCAACAAAAGCCAAAATTGACAATGGGATCTAATTAAACTAAAGAGCTTCTGCACAGCAAAAAAAAAAAAAAACTATCATCAAAGTGAACAAGCAACCTACAGACTGGGAAAAAATTTTTGCAATCTACCCATCTGACAATGATCGAATATCCAGAATTTACAAGGGACTTAAACATGCTTACAAGAAAAAGACAAACAACGCTATCAAAAAGTGGGCAAAGGATATGAACAGACACGTCTCAAAAAAAGACATTTACGTGGCCAAAAAACATACAAAAGAAGCTCAACATCACTGATCACCAGAGAAATGCAAATCAAAACCACAATGAGATGCCATTTCACGCCAATTAGAATGGAGATTATTAAAAAGTCAGGAAACAATAAATACTGGAGAGGATGTGGAGAAATGGGAATGCTCTTACACTGTTGGTGGGAAAGTGAATTAATTCAACCATTGTGGAAGACAGTATGGGCATTCCTCAAGGATCTAGAACTAGAAATACCTTTTGACCCAGCAATCCCATTACTAGGTATATACCCAAAGGAATATAAATCATTCTACTGTAAGGGAACATACGTGTATATATTTATTGCAGCACTATTTACAATAGCAAAGACATGGACCCAACCCAAATGCCCATCACTGTTAGACTGGATAAAGAAAATGTGGTACACATACACCATGGAATACTATGCAGCTATAAAAAAGGAATGAGAGCATGTCCTTTGCAGAAACATGGATGAAACTGGAAGCCATCATCCTCAGCAAACTAACACAGGAACAGAAAACCAAATACCGCATGTTCTTATTCGTAAGTGGGATTCGAACATTGAGAACAAATGGACACAGAGAAGGAAACAACACACGCTGGGGCCTGTTGGAGGTTGGGGGGTGAGGGGAGGGAACTTAGATGATAGGTTGAAAAGTGTAGCAAACCACCATGGCATACGTATACCTATGTAACAAACCTGCACGTTCTGCACATATATCACTTTTGTTTGTTTTTTGAAGAAGAAGAAGAAATAAAGAAAAAAAAGGTGAAGTTCATGTAAATTATTTTAAAATAAACCTCTTTGGCCCCAGAAGCTTATTGCTTGGTATGGACAAATACTCATCGGTGATACTGGCTATTGCTGGGAAGATGTCTTCATAGAAGCGTCGTATCTAAAATTTTTGTAGTTTTCAGGGAGTCCTTGCAATAGTTCTTTTAGAGACATCCATGCATGAAGGGCCTTCTTTTATACTCTCCCAGCTCCATTTTGTTGTGGTTTGACTTCAGTGAGTCAACTTCTTTGCTTGTAACTTTAACATTTCCCCCCTTTGACCAAGAATTTTTTCTGAAAGCATTGCTGATTAATCAGCCTATAGTTAGGTTTTGATTGTTTCTTGGTGCTGGAGTGGACCTTTCCTAGTTAGTCTGATCCTGCATCAGAGGTGAATGGCCAGCAACTAAGAGCAGATGTCAAAACCCTTTTAGTCACATTTAAGAAACAAAGAGGTTCAGAAGGAGTGGCTCTCAGGATAAATCTGCCTGGAGTTCATTGCTAAGTTCAATTTTGTCAGTTCCATAGGCATTGACTACCATTTGGAAGTTCTGGACCAGTGTTATTCTGTTAGATGCATCATTTCTGCAGAGGTTGGACAGGAAACAGATAAAAAGTTTAAAAAGAATGATGCGGTACAAAATTAATAGTAACATGAAATATTGTCTATGAACATGGACCCAAAGGCAGCCAACTAATGAATCAAAAGTCTATGTGAGACTGAGTGAGATCTGTTGTAGCCATAAAGCCTGTCTTGCTATTTTATGCAATTAGGTCTTGACTTCCCCAGAGAAATATATTCAGGTACAGCATGTAGTTATTAGCAATGGCACAGACATTCTTGTTCAACCAGTAGATAATTGAGAGTTATCTCATCCTGTCCTGTTGTGTTATCTACGGCTACTCAGCAAGATACTTTAATGAGCACTGCTGGGCGGCAATAGCCTTTGCAGTGAAGCCTGCAATGAAACCCAAGGTGGCAAATAAATTAGGGATGTTGCCATAGTTACCCACTGGGTGGACTAAAGGATCCCTTAGGTCATGTAAAGATGTGGGTTTGACACGACAGATCCAAAACTTCATTCAGTTACGGAAGCTACTGAATGTGAAATTCTAACCACAGCGTTATTCTGCCAAGTGAAAAATGTAGGCATAAGCAAGAAAAAAAAAAAATAAGAAGGATAAGAGTCCAGTTTTGTTACAATGTCTTGGGAAAAGCTTTCCACACTGTGATGTCATCAACTTCTTACTCTGGTTTGTAGTTTGAATGTTCCTGGGTATAGCATGGGGCATTTTAGTCAATTCTCTTTGTAGCCCACACAATAGCCATGAGATTTCTCTCTTGAAATTTACATGGAGTTTTCTGGCTCCAACTTATAGGACTTTAGGAACAAGGCAGTTTATGTTCTTAGTTGGAGAATCGTAGCCAGACGTTGGAGGAAATTAGAATAATTAAGTGCCCTGTCTAATTTAGAGATAGATGACAAAAACTTGAAAACAACAAAGAAAACTACAATCTACTAACAGGTGTACTGCAGTTTTTCTTCAGAAACATAATTTTTCTCTGTACAATCATCCCTATTTCTACTAAAGATAATCAGAGTAAGACTAATTTGTCTGCTGAATAAGTTTAGTCTCATTAAACTTGGCATGATTATTGACAACAGTATAGCAAGAAAAGGGATGAAACATGGGCTGTTTTTAAGTTTATTTTGACGGAACTTTTGATAAGAAATCTCAGATTAGACTTTTAAAAGCCTTTCAAGGGTCAGAAGTCAAAGGAGGGCGAACATCAGACTTTGGCTGCAGTATCTAAAAATCTGCATGAATTTCTCTCTTCTTGAGGTCTCCAATATATCTGGAGGTTCCTGGCCTGTCAAGAGGTAAAAATGTTTATTCACTCACTGTGAGCTTGGGAATCCTTGAAGCTAGGCATCCTGTGCATAGTCTCAAATATCACATTCAAGTCAAACCATTTATAATATAACCAATGTTTGTAATTCTATCCTGTTACAAAGAGAATAGATTTTTATTGAATTAATGCAAATAACTATGTTGCCATAAAATAAAAATATCAATAAGAGCTCTCTGAAGACTGCAGCCGCAGGTAGGAAGAAAAAATAAATATTTCCATTTTTATTTATAAAAGTATACTTTACCAAATTGCTGTATGCTATAGATAGCTTTTTAAAAGTTTTCTCAAATCTGGAAAACAAAAAATTTAAAAAAAACAGCAAAATGTTAAACAAAAAGTCACTCGAAAATATTGCCATCAGTTTGTTTAGTCCCATTCATTAAACTTATTCTACTTGATCTGGGTTAGATGTTTTAAGAAGCCATCGTTTCTTCATTAGAGTCCTGGAAATTCTTTCCCAGTCCAGTGGTATAATCTTAAACTCATAAGAAATCTAAATTCCAGCATACTTGTTAGAGTCCTTTTCATGAACCTCCTTGAAGAGGAAGTATTTTTCTTTATTCATTTTAATTTATTCTCTACAATACTTCATTAGGGAGTTCAATGATTTGCACTCAGAAGTTAAATAGCCAAGAGGCAAGCAAGTATAATAAACTTCAGAATTGGACTGAGGTTGTTGCACTGAAGGCCATGTAGTCTTTTGCTTCAGGGAAATAACAACAAAAATAACCAAAATGAACACATAGCTCCCTAGGCTTCTGAATCTCAATAGAGAATAACATCAACATTTAATGAAATTGTAGATATTAACACATCATGGGAAAAAAGATACTGTGCAAAATATTATAATTAACACTTGGCACTTCTTATGTCTAGATTTTTATTATAAACAATAAAATATATGTAATATCTTAACTACAGACCTTTCATGTTGAAAGGGCATCTAACATAACTTGTTTTAACATTATGAAGGGAAAAAGTTTAGAAATTTCAAAGTGGAAACAATCCAACACTAACAAACTATAGTGATCAAAAGTATTAACTTTTAAAGAAAAACAAGGACAATTCATAAAAGTAGAACTACCATTTGATCCAGCAATCTTACTGGTTATCTACCCAGAGGAAAAGAAGTCATTACACAAAAAAGATACTTGCACATGCACGTTTATAACAGCACAATTAGCAATTGCAAAAATGTGGAACCAGCCTAAATGCCCGTGAATCAATGAGTGAATAAACTGTGGTATATATTTATGTGTGTGTGTGTGTGTGTGTGTGTGTGTGTGTGTATGTATATGTATATATATATGCATATGTATATATATATATGCATATGTATATATATATATATGCATAAATACATATATGTGATGGAATACTACTCAGCCATAAAAAGGAATGAATTAATGGCATTCATAATAACCTGGATGGGATTGGAGACTATTATTCTAAGTGAAGTATCTCAGGAATGGAAAACCAAACATTGCATGTTCTCACTCTTAAGTGGGAGCTAAGCTATGAAGATGCAAAGGCATAAGAATGATACAGTGGACTTTGGGGACTCAAGGGAAAGAGTGGGAAAGGCATGAGGGGTAAAAGACTACAAATTGAGTTCAGTGTATACTGCTCGGGTGATGTGTGCACCAAAATCTCACAAATCACCACTAAAGAACTTACTCATGTAACCAAATACCTCATGTTCTCCAAAAACCTATGGAAATAAAAAATTTAAAAAATTACAGAAAGGGAATGTATTATGAGACAAGCCACGTTTATAGACCAAAGCATGCTCATAGCTAGGGATGAAACAAACCACAAACCAAGCCAGCAAAGTTGGGTTGATTCCTTGAAAAGAATGGTTACCTATTGTCCAGATTGAGTAGCCCAAAGACAGAGGAAACACTGAGCGTAAAACATTCCCTTTTTTTTAATTAGCCGGGCGTAGTGGCGGGCGCCTGTAGTCCCAGCTACTTGGGAGGCTGAGGCAGGAGAATGGCGTGAACCCGGGAGGCGGAGCTTGCAGTGAGCCGAGATCCCGCCACTGCACTCCAGCCTGGGCGACAGAGCGAGACTCCGTCTCAAAAAAAAAAAAAAAAACAAAACATTCCCTTTTTTTTAAACCTACCACTCACACCACATGCACTGATCACTCTCATCACTGCTTTGGTAAAGCATGTAGGATGCAGTTCAGTTTCAATTTGGAGCTGTTACCTCCCCAGGCAAAGCTGCCACACAGATGATCCAGGCTTGGTGTTTTTCCCGAGAGCCACCTGCCACACATTTTCATAAGGTGACCATGACTATGCACATCCAGGCTACTTCCTGACTAGGCCCTGTTCAGGAAGCATCCTGAGGTGTCCATTCCTCGTGGAGCCAAATAGTTCCCTTGGTTGACTCCTGAGTCCCCTTGGCAAGCCAAGCAGAATTCAAGCATTTCTACTGCTAGCCTTGTGTGGGAGCATGAGCGAATGTAAAGGGAGCAAGGCTCTTCACTCCATAAACCACAGCCTACTTCGGGGTGGTGCTGGACCAGCCCTATTCTTGGGTACTGAATTTCTTTTTCTCATTTGTTGGGATTTTAAATTTTCTATTTATTTTCTTAAATGGCAGGTATCCTACTGCATCTTCAATAAAATAAAATATATACATATATATGTTGTACACTGGAGAAAACAAATAGGGGAACAGTTTGATAGTTTAGCCCCATTTTTTGCTTTTATTTAACCTTTAGAAGTAAAACACAATTATTAAAACAGAATGCTTGAGCAGTAATAAGCGTAGCCCTATGTATCAATATTATTGTACAAATTGGATGTGGGTGCTTAACCCAGAGCTGACCACCCTGATAATAATCCAGAAAAAAACCATTGTTACATCTGTTTGTAACAAGACATTTATTATTCTCAGCACCAGGACATCATAAAATGACTCCTTGATCTTCATTTACTTCACCAAGGGAAACGTGGCAGGCTACAGAAACTCAGCACAGCAGTTAGTGGGGCTGTGCCCTGGGTGCCCTGATGTCACCCACATTTCCCTTGCACGTCTCAGGTCCTAATAAGCAGTGCAGGACAATGTTGAGCCAACCTACTCACCCGTGCCCATTCCTTCCCAGAAACTTAAAGGTGATCCCTATAATAGCACATATGTCCTTTCCCAAATTGTGTCTTTGCTCCCCTAACCCCATTCTTGGCAGAAGAAAAAACAAAACATCTCTTGACTTGAATATTTGCTTATTTTAGAAACCGACACAATCACCATAAACTTAAAAAAAAAAATAAATCAAAATGTTGTTTTCACTGGGTTGACACCTATCTGCTTCAAGAATTCTCTAAGCATGTTGTTGAAAACCAGTGTAACATCTTTAGGATCTTTCTCCCAACTGACCAGTCTTCCTGTGAATCATTTCAGCAGTTCCTTTGTGGCAATGTTTACAAAGCATCTTCTAAGTCCTCTAATTCTATGAGCTTTGCTATCAAAATAGTGAAGAATAGGAAAGGGGGAGGAAAAAACTAGCTGACAGCTGTTTGGAAATCAGCAACAATGTGAAAGAGAAATGTATCTCATGAAAGTTTGAAAGACATGGAATAAATGAGCTCCTTGGAAATTTGCCCTGGCGGAGTGAAGATTCCCACTTTATCTTCTTAGGCAAGATAAAGATCCACCTTATGTAATTACACAGCTTTGTTTAAGCATCCTGTAAAAGACTGAAAAATCAACTGTCTTCCTAACTCTACAGGCAAACTAGAAAAAGGATCTCCCTGCTTACTGGTCCCTCAGGATGTTTTCCTGAAAAGAAAACCAGCTTAGAGATACTGGATTTTCTTCTATGACAAAGTGTCCTCTTAAAGTCCAACCGAAACTTGTTTGCACACTTACACTTCTGAAAGCCTAGGTCCGACTATAGGGCTGATACCGGGAGAGAAGTGAAGTAGCTGGGTGGTGAGGAAGTGGTCTCTCCTTTCACATCTCTGTGCAGTCATGATATCAAGACCCCTTGTGGACATCTCTATTCCATTCCTCAGTCAGTGACACCACAGAGCTCTGTTTGATACCGGGAGACTTAATGCAGTAAAAGTGACAGAAAGTGCAACTGATAGTAGGATGAAAATTATAATCTTCAAGGATTAGTGAGCCATGAGATCTGCAATGCTATCGTAGGGTTTCTGATCCTGATGTGGGTCTCTGTCCAGGATCCTTGAAGAAATTATGGCACCCACATCCAACCCTAACATAGCTTCCACTTATGAAACAAGGAGGTTGTAATCAACTCTTGGTATGTAATAAACTGGAAGTTCAAAAATGTAATTTAAAACAATCTAAAAGAATGTAGTGTTGGTCTCCATTGCACAGACTGCTAGGGGAATATATCAACTTGATTTGGGGAGGCTGTAGAGGTATATAGAGGAGTATATGGGTTAAACCTTAATGGGTCATCAGTTTCAGAGAAGAAGCAATTTTTTATTGTAGCTGATGGCAAATGCTTTTGGAAAAGAATGAAAGCAGTCGGTCCCTGTGGATGACAGACTTAGAGTGGCCATGGTTAAAAATCTCATGGAGTTTATTATAATAATAATGTAATTGACAAAGAAATTTGTTTATTTCTGTGGCATACAAAACTTGAAGATAATAACCAAGATTATGACCGATAACATATCAGATTTTGAAGAATTCAATATAATTTTGTAACACATATCAATAACATTCTGAAATACAACTTAAAGAAGGTTTAGCACCACTTAGTATTTGACAATACTCCCTATATAATTTAATATATCAAGTAAGTCTCATTAGTTTAATATATCTCTTTACAATGTGAGATACACATTCTTTGATCTTTCCAGGGGTCCAAATGAGAAATATCAAAATTAACTTGAGGGCAAAAAGAGTTAATTTAAAATATTATTTTGGGAAGTTTGTCAAAAACATCAAACAGTTTAAAACACTTTATCAGAGTATGATAACAGGTAACCAAAATGAAAATTAAAAGATTTCAAAAAATAAATGTAGAAATTTACATAATTGTCAACAAAAACATAGCTTTTTAATACTGAGAACATTTACTTTTCTCTTTTTTTAACTTTTATTTTAGGTTCAGGGGTACACATGTGGGTTACTTACGCATTTATATGGGTAAATTGTGTGTCACGGGGTTTGGTGTGTAGATTATTTCATAACCCAGATAATAAGCATAGTACCCAGTAGGTAATTTTTAAATTTTCATCCTCCTTCCTCCCTCCACTCTAAAGTAGGCCCAGTGTCTGTTGTTCCATTTGTGTCCATATGTACTCAATGTTTAGCTCCCCTTATAAGTGAGAACATATGGTATTGGGTTTTCTAGGATAATGGCCTCCAGCTCCACTCATGTTGCTGGAAAAGAGATGATCTCATTCTTTTTATGGCTGCATAGTATTCCATGTTGTATATCTACCACATTTCTTCATCCAGTCTACCACTGATGGGCATTTAGGTTGATTCCATGTCTTTGCTATTGTGAAAAGTGCTGCAATGAACATACACGTGCATGTGTCTTTATGGTAGAATGATTTGTATTTCTTTTGGTATATACTCAATAGTAGGATTGATGAGTTGAATGGCACTTCTGCTTTGAGTTCTTTGAGAAATGGCCACACTGCTTTCCACAATGGCTGAACTACCTTACATTCCCACCATCACTGTATAATCATTCCCTTTTCTCCACAACCTCACTAGCATCTCTTATTTTTTGAGTTTTTAATAATAGCCATTCTCATTGGTGTGAGATGGTATCTCATTGTGGTTTTGATTTGCATTTCTCTAATGATTAGTGATGTTGAGCATTTTGTCATATGCTTTCTGGCCACATGTATGCCCTCCTTTGAAAGTGTCCGTTCATGTACTTTGTGTACGTTTAAATGGGATTGTTTGTTTTTCACTTGTTGATTTTTTTAAGTTCACCAGATGCACTGTGCTGGGGTTCTGTGATAGTCCCTAATTGCTGTGCACCCTCCCAAGCCTGAGAGCAGCAGGAGGGAGGGTTGCGAGACAGCAAAAAGGTGGACTGCCTCTCTCTTTGGGAGCTGCATGCCGGAGAAGTGTAGAGCTGCTCCCAGCTGGAGAACTCAGGAGGACTAGGGTGGCCTCACTAGCATCCCAGGCTAGTGGGCCTTATCCTACAAGGTTCAGTGGTGGTGAGGTCTGCAGTCTATCACTGCTCAGCCCCATGGACTTGGCCCCTTTTCTGGGGAGCGTGCAAGAAAACTTGGCCTTCCCAATTGCTGGAGCTGCAGCCCCTGGTTTTGGGGTACCCAGGGAACAAATGCTACTGGGACTCCACACCTACCTAAGAAGCAGCTCTACCCAGACTCCACATGGCTCTCTGTTTTGGTCTGGAGACCCCAGCTGGGGTATCTCCTGAGCCCAGGGATTCAAAGGTTCGTGGCAGAAATATGCATCCCACGGGACTCTCACTCACTCACCATTTTCTTGTAGGGGGATTCCCCTGGGTCTGTGCCACTCCTGGGTGAATGGTTGATCTGTCTCACTCTTCTCCGTGATCCGAAGGTCACACTATGTCACTGATGAATCCTTATGTGTCCACCTGGATGTTCCGGTTGAAGAGCTAGTGTCTCACCACTCTTTCTGCTATTTGTGAGAGTGGCACACACTAGCTGCTTCTAGTCAACCATCTTGGCCCCACCTCACTCACTTTTCTCAAGTAATCAAAGACCTAGTAAAAGAGAGCATAAAGCATAAGAAATTACCTTGATAAACAAAAAATCTTGGTTTATTAGGCCAGTTATCTAAAAGGTAGAGAAAACATTTCACTATTTTCTATTAAGAGCAGGTCAATACTCAAAGAAAAGCTTGTTGTTTCAGCACAGGGGACAAATTTCAAGTTTTCCATTCCTGTACTTTTGATAATAATGCTCAAGTTTTCAGAATATTTATAAATAATTTCCTTTTAACTTTAGCCAACTTGGTCACACATAAAATTCTTTTCACAAGATTAATCTTCCACAAACTTTCTATAAATTTGTCATCCAGTTATCTTATTCAGTTTTTGTCTATATTTTTTCTCTTTTTCTTTTTGGAACAGTAAGACATTCTACTTTTAGACAAAAAATACTCTCTTTTTCCCTTAACAAAAACACAACCTCTTACTTATAACTTTCTGTATGTGTTTTTCTTCCCTCATGTACAGATTTGTTTCCCTTCATTATTTCTAGTTTAAATTACTCTAATATTAATTTTAATTAACTCTTAGTAACCTTAATTTCTAGTGAAAATTAGTAAGCATTTTGAAGTGCATCATGTTAGTATTTTGCAGATGAACACCATCTCATAAAATAATTTTTATGCCTTTAATTAACAGGCCCAAATATGTTTAGCTTTTCCATAACATGTGAAACCAAGATGCCAAATTACGTATATTTTAAACTTCTGTTAAGCAATTGATATTTCAGTATTTTCCTTAGAAATGACTCAAATATTAAATCAGTAAAGTGTTACTTAATTTAATATAACATGATTTTAAGATTTCAAGTCACACTAAATTATTTTTGAAATTCTGACAACTTTATTATCAACCTTTTGTCAATGTATATTCACCTAATTCACTTGTTCTTAACAATTGTGCTTCAGTTCCTCCTTAAACACAACGATGAGTGGATTTATAGCTTTAAGACATTCATTATACATCTCAGTAATAGCAAGCTTGTTTCACCAGTAACTTTAGGTTTAAAAACTGTATCTGTACATTGTAATTAATGCTGACAATTCTGAAAATATTTGTTTTTATTTTGCCAACAAATTTTAAAACTAGCTTTGTCTGCCAAAGATTATTTCATCACATAAGCCAAAAGGCAATTGAGTTTCTGTTTTTCTGAGAGAATTCTTAGTTTAAACACTTATGTTTTCTCTGTAAGCCAATTAAGTAGAGCCGTTTATGAATTTTGGTAGAAAAAATTGTACATACGCACACACACACACACACGTAGAAAAATACAGACAGAGGAAGAACTTACAACTTGCATTAAGAATTGTTATTTGCCTGGCTTGCAAGTAGTTTTACTCCCTCTTTCAGACTATCTGTCTTTTAATGATCTGTTCAATTGGCCCATAAACAAGTGTTAGTTAGGCCACCCAAAATTTGTACTTCCAAAGAGATGATTTTTAGGTGAAGGAATGTAGAAAATTTAAATCTCAAAGGTACAGAACTTAAACACCACTATTTGTTGAGATGAAAAAAAGCATATATAGGAAGCCTTCAAAATGAAATGGTCAAGGGTGAGTTTACACAGATAGATAGATTTAGGTCTCTTCCTTTTGCTTTGTGAAAGCATCTAGTGTTTTAGGTGTCAGAGAGGGAGATATCCTTACAAAGCAGAGATTATCATTACAGGTTTACATTTCTTACAAAGAGTTTCAAAATAAACAGGTAAATGCCAAAAACATATATTTTGGTGACGGATTAATTCACTAGTTGGTCTATTCAACTTAACTTGTTTCCTAATGAGATTAAATTCATGCACAAATAACCAAACCAAAAATTAAACCAAAAGAATACTCACCAGAAAGGATGTCCTTTACAAGAGCAGATCCCCCAAAATGTAAGAGTTCACTGAAAAGGTGGGAGCTCAAACCAAGAGAGGACTTATCTCGCAGCATAAAGACAACTTGTACAAGTGAAGATCACAATAGGCTCAGGTGAGTATCATACACAATTTCAAGTATCGCCAGATACTTGAAAGCCTTCCAAAGGCTTTCTTTGTTACTGTTTGGATAACAGTGCTGTAACTGTAAGTAACAAAGAAGGCTTGGAGCCTTTGCATCTTGCTTCTGACATTAGATTATGTCAACTTAAACAACAGAGATACTGACTCTCTAAAATAAAGAGTGGAGTGTATTCAGGAAATAGCAGTAAATTGCAATTTGAAATACACATGCTATGGTGGACCTTAGGCACCAAAGAAGCTGAGGGACTGTATTAGTTTGTTCTAGCACAAAGAACTACCTGAGACTTGGTAATTTATAAAGAAAAGAGGTTTAATTGACTCATGATTTCATAGGCTGTACAGGAAACATGATTGGAGGAGGCCTCAGGAAACTTACAATGATGGCAGAAGGCAAAAAGGAAGGAGGCACGTCTTACATGGCCGAAGCAGGGGGAAGAGGGCAAAGGGGAAATACCACACACTTTTCAACAAGCAGGTCTCATGAGAACTCACTATCACAAGAACAGCAAGGAGGAAATCCACCCCCATGATCCAATCGCCTCTCACCAAGCCCCTCCTCCAACATTGGGGATTACAATTCGACATGAGATTTGGGTGGGGACACAAATCTAAACCATATCAGGAAGGCAAAAATCTTAAAAGAGAAATTTTATGTAAGTTTTGTAATAAACCTCATGGGCCAGAGAAGCTTGTTACAAGAGTTGGCAAATACTCATTGATAATATTGGCTGTTGCTGGAGAGATGTCTTCATAGAATTATCATATCTAACATTTTTGTGGTTTTTGAGAGAACCATTGCAGCAGTTCTTATTATAGACATATGTACATGAAGGCCCCTCTTTCATGGCCTCCCAGCTTCATTTTTTTATGGTTTGATGTAAGTGACTCCATTTTGGTGCTCACAACTTCCACATTTCTCCCTTTTGGTTGAAATATTTTTCTGAAAGCATTTCACACTTAAAAGATATAGATTGGCCGGGCATGCTGGTTCATACCCGTAATCCCAGCACGTTAGGAGGCGGAGGTGGGTGGATCACCTGAGGTTGGGAGTTCGAGACCAGCCTGACAAACATGGAGAAACCCCATTTCTACCAAAAATACAAAATTAGCTGGGCGTGGTGGCACGTGCCTGTAATCCCAGCTACTCAGGAGGCTGAGGCAGGAGAATCACTTGAATCCAAGAGGCAGAGGTTGCAGTGAGCTGAGATCACGCCATTGCACTCCAGCTTGGGCAACAAGAACGAAACTCCATCTCAAAAAACAAAAACAAAAACAAACCAACAAAAAATGAAATAATTGTAAAAACCAACCATAGTTCTCAGTAATGATAGTTTCATTTCCGTCAGCTATTAGTAGAGTTAATTAACTCCTATCAACCTCACATTTTCCATTTAAAAAATACAGGAGAAAAAGTTTGATGTGGGTTTAATGAGAAAATTTATATAAAATAGATCTAACTACTATATTTATCACAAAACAGATGCACAAACTATGTTTTTTTCCTCTCACTTGTTCTTATTTTATATATCATTTTAATTGAGGAAATCATTGAGCATAATGTAACAAATATTTTCATAAGTTATTATAAAGAGGGTTTGAAGGACTTGTTAGAAAGTGTCTGGCAGTGGAAAAAACATCTGAATAGAAAATGAAAATAGCATGTGAATGCTGAAATAGCGTATTAAATAGCTGCAACTCTAATATAATTTACATTTGGATTTTAGTATAGACAGAATACTTAAATTTATTTCTGCAGTCTTTTCAGTTGTTAAACATTTTATTGAACTCTTCATGTGCCTTTCAGATGTATTGTGCTTCAAGTGTGCTTGTACCAGCTTTTTCTGTTTAGAAATGCTTGAGTGTCTCCATTGTCAAAACGATCAGAAGGCAGTAATTGTATTTCCAATGTGAGGACAAACAATACTAGATATCCTGCGATCCTACATTGTAAAAAATATTCCCATCAAATGCCCCAATGGATAGCCACGTAAGTGATCATCTGTAATTATTTAGTCAAGAAATGAATATTTTACATGTAAATACTTTGAATGGCTTAATACAAACTAAATTTTTCAGAATGCAACCACTACGGAAATTGAAGAGAAAAAGTCTTTTTATTGTAGAAACTTCCCAGAGTCTTTCAATATTTACAAAAATTATGTTGCCAATGGCAATACCTTAGTTATTTGAATCACCAGTAGAACACACTATAAAAACATGCATTGTCACATCTGTACCCTGTCACATCCAGGATAACGATAATATTGAGATATATAACTATTTAGCCCTTATTTTAAAACATCAGGTAACAAGCATCAATCAATTTCTATCAAATGTTTCAACTTGGGTATTACAGCATAAGCAGAAATATACTGTTACCAATATCCCAGCCAATTTCTTTTCCTAATGAAACAATAAAACTGAGAATATAGAGACCATTTAGTAAAGCTGATATATATATATATGTTTGCATATGTGTGTGTGTGTATATATACATATAAATGTAATTAATACAGTAGATGAGGTCAAAGAAGCAAGTGATACACAACTTTTAATTTGGATGGGATGTCCTTGAAGATTCCTGTATTAGTCCTTTCTCACATTCCTATATGAAAATACCTGAGACTGAGTAATTTATTAAAGAAAGAGGTTTAATTGACTCACAGTTCCCTATGACTGGGGAGGCCTCAGGAAACTTACAATCGTAGTGGAAGGTGAAAGGGAGGCAGGCACTTTCTTCACAAAATGGCAGGAAAAAGAAGGATGGAAGGAGGAACTTGCCGAACAGTTGTAAAACCATTAGATCTCGAGAGAACTCACTCACTGTCATGAGAACAGCTTGGGAGAAACCACCTCCATGATTCAAATACCTCCACCTGGTCTCTCCCTTGACATGTGGGGATTATGGGGTTTACAATTCACCATGAGATTTTGAGTGGGGACACAGCCAAACCATATCAACTCCTAAATCTTAATACACTTTATTACTAGCTGATATGATTTGGATCTGTGTCCCTTACCAAATCTCATGCCGAATTGTAATCCCCAATGTTGGAGGTGGGGTCTTGTGGGAGGTGACTGGATCATGGGGGCAGATTTCCCCCTTTGATGCTGTATCATGATAGCATCCTCATGAGATATGGTTGGTGAAAGTGTGTGGCACCTTTTCTCTTCCTCTCAGTCCTGCTTCTGCCTTGCAAGATTCGTGCTTCCACTTTGCCTTCTGCCATGAGTAAAATCTCCCTTTAGCCTCCCCAGAAGCAGATGCTGCTATGCTTCCTGTTCAGCCTGCAGAACTGCGAGCCAATTAAACTTCTTTGCTTTATAAATTACCCCATCTCAAGTGTTTCTTTATAGCAGCAGTGTGAGAACAAGCTAATACACTAGCCTTCTTGAATACATCTTAGCAAGCTCTCGAGCAGCGTAACCACATAGATTAGAGAAGGCCAAAACTGACAGATTCCCATCTTGACCAAAGTTTAATCATTCTTCTCCAGTCCCTCTTCTCAGGCCCAGTTTAACAAAGACGCCTGCTAAGCCAGTTCACTGAGAATCACTTCGCCCTTGATATCTTATCACTTTGGCATGCCTTTAGCAATAATGCAGTTTAGCAAGAACCCCGCTCCCCGCCACCCCACCCCCCGCCACCCTTAATATCTAATTAGTTTCTATCCACTGACTCACTCCCTCAGCTCTTTGCTTATAAATTTCCAGCTCCATGCTGGGAGAAATTTTAGTTCAATCTCTCTCTACTATAGCTATATTATTCCCCCATTGCTATAGTCCTGAATAGTCTTCCTTGCTATTTTTAACAAGCATCCAGTGTACACATTTCCTTTTGACAAAACATAGTGTCCATATGTAGAGGGAAGAGGAAAGCTAACAAAATATAAAGTCATCCAAACCACACACACCTTGGACAAGCTTATCATGTGTGGGAATAAAATGCTGGAGGTGGGTTTGGCTTCCCCCAAAAAAAAAGTGTGTAATTTGAAATTTCATATCAAGAACAGTTAAATTCCCAGATTCTTTATCATTACTGAATACCTTAGTAATTATTCTTCATTTAACACAACAGGAAATAGGAGATTTATTTTCTGGAGAGACTTGTCCAATTAAAGTGGGGATATGGTTGCTCCGTTGAGCAGAAATTTGGCTTATATAGACCCAAAGCTCAGAAAAAGAGTTATAGATCTAAAATGACAATCATTGAGACAATAAAGTTCATGGAAACCACGATGGGAAGCATCTACGTGGAAATAAAAAGTTGGATTTTCAGTAGAGAAATTGGTAACAATGTAAATTTCCTCTTAATGTCAGGTGAGAACTAATTCTGAAGTCAGAGGAGGAAAGTAGCCTACAACAAAGAGTAAGATCATCTTGACAGGATCAGGGAGAAAGATAATAGTTGCAAATGGAGACAGGTATATTGATTTAGTGCCAGGTAGTTGAAAGACTACGAGTGTAAAGACTTATATTTTCTCTGTGTTGCAGTAGCAAAGTCATCTGCAGAGAGAGAGAAGTGAGAAGGGAGAAGAGAGTGTCAGAAATTAGAGGATTGTAGAGATTGAAAAAGTTATGTCAGGCACAATTGAAAACCCGGTTTCCAATGGTGATCATCGTCTTAAAATATTATCAGTTTGTTTTCTTGCATGACATTCTTCAGCAGCAGTCATGGACTGAGAAATATGCAGAAATCAGATAGTTGAGTTCATCTAGAGAAGAGGTTGCAATGTGCTTCTAAAAAGGACAAAACCAAAAGCAACCGAGAGAGAGAAAGAGAGAGAGAGAGAGAGAAAAATGAAGATGTGAAAGGGGATAGGTCAAAACTCAGTAATTTTTTTTTAAGCAAAGGGCCAGATAGTAAATATTTTTATTTTGTGAGCCATATTGTCTCTGTAGGAAGTACTCAGTTCTCCCATGTTCTGCAAAAGCAACCATGGACAATAAGAAAATGTGGCTGCGTTCCAATAAGAATTTATTTAAAAAATAGGTGATGGATTGTATTTAGCCCAAGGGAAGCAGTATGTCAATTCTGGTTTTATGTTACTGGCAATTACATTTTAAAATATTCAGTAATTGAATCTACAATATCGATTCCCAACTATTGCTGCATATTAGTATCATAATAGAATGCCAGGTCCCAGAGACACTGGGTCAGCCAATCTCAATTGGGGCCAAGGCACTCATATGTATCTTTGGAACCTCCTCAGGCAATTCTAACATAAAGCCAGTGTTGAGAAGAGCCATTGTTAGTTTGCTTGTGGGAGTAACTGACCGCAGGAGGATCATAATGCTATAGGCAAAGGCTGAGGCACCAGTGGATTGAAAGTCTTAGTGAGGCAGGAGAACAGCTGCAGTGGGAATTGTTGCCACACTGAACAGACAGGAGATTGATCAAAGAGTGGTGTGCTTATTTAGTCATTTAAGAGGAATATCATGTTTTGTCATTATACATTTCATGGGTTTGGTAAGCAGCCTCTAAAATTGCTCCATGTCACTTGTACCCCTGGTAGAGGTAACTCCTTGAGGAATCTTCTACTCTGTTGTCCTAGTTGAATTTATCTCACTTCACTATCAAATAGACTGTGGCAGAAGTGATGGATATCACTTCCAACATTAGATTGCACAAAGACTGTGGCTTCTGTCTTGGGAATCCTCTCTCTCTCTTTCATTGTAAGGGAAGCTGACTTCTATGTTGGGCGCTGCCTATTAAGAAGTCCACATAGCACGGAGCCAGTGTCACCAGTCACAGCCAGCAAGGAAGGACCTGGGGACTGCCCCCAGCCACATGATTAATCTTAGAAGTGAATCTTCCCTAAGTAAGGCTTTTAAATGATGGCAGCCTTATGAGAGTCCTTGAGCTAGAGGGCCTTACTAATTCTGATATAGTTCTTGACCCAGAGAAGTTGGCATAATGAATGTTTGTTGTTTTAATCCACTAAGTTTTGGAGGTAATATGTTAAGCATCAACAGATAACTAATAAAAGGAGTGATTCTGAGCAAGAAAGGCTTAAGTGGAGGGAAGCTAAGGTCGAATAGTTTATGAATATCATCCTGTAAGAATACAGGGCTTGGAGCTTTGAAGGTGGGAGCAGAAAAAAATTTATGTAAGCTTGTCATTAACAATATGACTAAAAAAGTTCATTATACTGAAGGATAAATGCTTACATGTGCCTCAGAGAATAGATGTTTTTATTCCTGGGAAGAAAGATAAACTTTTTCAAAAAACATAAAGATTAAGTAGGATGCAGTTTCCAGCTTTGGATTCTGACATTCAGGACATGGGGAGGGTGATGAGCTTCTCCTGGAGGACTGAATTTAGGACACAATCAAGTTCATGATGGAAGCCCTTATGAGGTAGAGAGGGAGTGCATCTCAGCTCTTTCGATTAATTAAATGATTGCTTGAATTGGAGAAGGTGTGGGTATTTTGTGTTGTTTGGGTGAGTACATTGGAATGGTTTTCTAGCATTCCTTTGAGATTTTCCACAGTATAAGTTAAGGTAAAAGAACATTTTTACTTGTTTCAGAAAGCATACTGAGGAAGCTTTAATGTTACTATTAAGTAGGTAGGGAAATGACCAATATTATAAACGCAGATTTCCAGCCTCTCCTTTTAATGCTTTCAGAATGATTCCACAAGAACCTTGAAAATGTTGAGTATTTATATTTATTTTATGCCCTTTTATTGTGATTTTTTAAATAAATACTTTTTTTTGGTAAATACTGGAAGTTAATATTCTATAGTTTAGAAAAGCAATTTTGAACACTCAACTAGTGAGCCCATATAAAACTACATAACAGCACAGAATATAGTAAAATAATAATATAATGAACTGGGAGACAAACTAGGCACTGTGTGCCAAGTTTTTCAAGGAAGATACAATTTCAATACCAATGAAATAAACTCCCACAAATTGATTTTTCTTTGTGTGCACTCATCAGTGTAAATACAATTAAGTAATAAAGCCTGTACTTGTTCAGGAAAGATGTTTTCTATTCATAGTCTGATATCTGGGTGCTTTGGTTTCTGATAATTTGTTATGTAAAAACCCTGCAAATTAAAAAAAAAAAAATCAGCAGCTCCAAGTTCATGGGCCCTTATCACAGAGGATTTAAAACCTGTGCATTTTCTTTAAACCGAGAATATTATTACATTTTTTAATCCAGTGATGAGACCATAATAGTTTTCTGAAATAATTCAGAATAATTATATACCTAAAAGTTAATTTGCATGTGCTGTAATTTAAATAAAAGGACAGTTAATTTTTGCATTACAAAACATGAAAAATAAAATCAAACGTTGCATCTTTACTTTTATTACATAAATTCCTTTACATTGTAGTGCCCCCTAGCACCACGCAAGTTTATAAACTGCTTTCAATATTAATTATGTTATTATAATAATAACTAATTTAAGAATGTATTATTAAAGTCAGTAATTTAATAATAATAATTTCAATAATATATGTGTCACAAAAATACCTGAAATTACAATTAGTATGTCCGGTTTACTGATGGGAATACTGTGGCTCAAAAACATCACCTCAGGCAGGGTGTGGTGGCTAACTCATGTAATCCCAGCACTTTGGGGGTCCAAAGCAGGTGGATCGCCTGAGATCAGGAGTTTGAGACCAGCCTGGCCAACATGGTGAAACCTCATCTCTACTAAAGTACAAAACCGGTCCGGCATGGTAGTGCACACCTGTAATCCCAGCTACTCGGGGGGCTGAGGCAGGAGAATCACTTGAACCCATGAGGAGGAGGTTGCAGTGAGCCAAGATCACACCACTGCCCTCTAGTCTGGGTGACAGAGCGAGAGTCCTTCTCAAAAAAAAAAAAAAAATCATCTCACCCAAATCATGTAGCTACAAAGTTATGGTTTAGAATAATTCAACTATTTTACTGAAATCAAAACTTTTACTATTAACCAATCAGTTACACTCAGCTTTGTGTAACTGAATACCAAATAACATCATGTTCCAGTAATTTTCATTTGAGTGAGAAGGGAGCACACTGGTACCCTGGACACACCCAGATACACTAAATCAGAATCTCTAAAACTTGGTGACTGTAAAAATAATTTTATTCTGAGTCTGAAACATATGCTCCGTGTTTCTTAGCAAGTTTCTGCAGCACAGGAGTCAGGTGAGGGAAGGTAGCGCCCCACTCCTGGTTATGGAAGGCAGAGGGTGAGTTCTGCTGCACATATGAAGCTATGGAGAGAGCAAGACTGCATAGGAGCAGGGTACAGTCTCTGGATATAGAAGACAGATAAACCTGGGTTATAGTTGACCCAGTGGAAAATTATAGGCCAAGAATAAGTTTCCAGATACCTTAATAGGACTGGGCATTTGATAAATTTTGAAAGTTCTCTGATAACTCGTATGTGCAGTGTAGGCTAAGAACTCATGGAAACAATATAGACATTTTTTGCCTCTCAGGGATATGCAGACACCCCAGTTCAGATATGATGTCTTCATGATCATCAGAAATCCAGATGGCTATTATCTTGTTGCTTTGCACCTCCAAGTACTGCTGCTTCTCATGTTGCCCCATGGCTGCCCCAGATCTAGCCATCAGAGCTGCCTTTCCAAGAAGGAAGAAAGCACAGAGATAGGACATGCCCCCTGCATGTAAGTCAGCTTCTCAGAAGTTACACGCGTTACTTCCCCTTACACAACATAGGTCAGAAATTGGTCACATGTGTCATGCCCTATGTTAAGAAAAGATTGGGAATATAGCATTTATTCCTGGTGATCATGTGTCCGGCTAAGCATTAGAGGACATTTTTACTGATGGCGAAAGGGTCAATGGAGATTGCAGTGAACCAGCCATCTCTGTCCAATAGGCACTTTATTTGGTGACAATAATTATAGGAAAGGTAGCACTAGACAGTGTTAATTCATTGAAGTTATTTTGGGTTTTTCTTGTTACTTTGTTTGTTTGCTTATTTGTTTTATCCTTCAGAGAAATGCTAGAAATTTAGTAATTAAATTAAATATTTCATTGAACACAAAAGCATAACATTATGGAAAAGAGTAACTGTTGTTTAGTTTTATTTATATATGTTAGTGTTTATACTGACTAATCTCACCAATGGAGACAGACAATTTCTAAGATTTATTATAGGCATTGTGTTTGGATCTTTCTTTCAGAAAAGTAAAAATCAGCTTAACCCAAAAATTATTTTAATAATAATTGGCATATCCAGCTTCATCCATGTCCCTACAGCGGACATGAACTCATACATTTTTATGTCTGCATAGTATTCCCATGGTGTATATGTGCCACATTTTCTTAATCCAGTCTATCATGGATGGACATTTGGGTTGGTTCCAAGTCTTTGCTATTGTGAATAGTGCCGCAATAAACATATGTGTGCATGTGTCTTTATAGCAGCATGATTTATAATCCTTTGGGTATATATCCAGTAATGGGATGGCTGGGTCAAATGGTTTTTCCAGTTCTAGAAGCTGGAAACCATCATTCTGAGCAAACTATCGCAAGGACAGAAAACCAAACACCGCATATCCTCACTCATAGGTGCAAATTGAACAATGAGAACACCTGGACACAGGGTGGGGAACACGACACACCAGAGCCTGTCGTGGGGTGGGAGGAGGGGGCAGGGATAGCATTAGGAGATGTGCCTAATGTAAATGACGAGTTAATGGCTGCAGCACACCAACATGGCACATGTATACATATGTAACAAACCTGCACATTGTGCACATGTACCCTAGAACTTAAAGTATAATAAAAATAAATAAATAATAATTGGCATATCCAGAACCCTTTGCTATCTTCTGCTACATTTGCACAAATTCACAGCTATTTGAATACCAGTCATTGTCAATCCTGGTCAGCTTTGAAAATACTGTTCCTTAGTTTTGCTCTCTGCCTAATTTACTTGGATTGAGGGGAAACCCAGGAATCAGTTGATTTGAGTACGTAGCCAATGTTGTAAAGAACTAATTGCTTTAACTTCTAATAGAAAAATATCACTATTTTTTTAAAAAAGTTACATAATTCATGTGTAGGAACATAATCCTTTTAGCCTAGAAGTAAAAAATGATATAGTCTTGCCCTATAGCACTGATCATGGCCATATATAATTTACAATAACCAAAATAATGACAATATTTTGGTACAGCATGCTCTATTAATTTGAATGCTCACCAGTTAACACATAATTTAATGTGATATGTATTAGGTTATAGAAAACCATGAGGTAAAAATCATAGGCTGCATTGAACTTTCTACTTCCCCAACTTTGCCTCATTATAGGGAGGGATGCAGCCCTAGAGTTCAAGAATTCCATAAAGACCAACCTGAAATTCTGGTGCCTGGCATCTTGTCACACCTTCTTCCAATACACAAACATCAAGGAGTGTAGAAGTTGAACATGGTCTGTTGTCACTGCCTCAAAGAATCCACTTCTAGCTTGTTCACACTAGGGTGTGAACATTTAAAGAGGGTAGGGAAGAACCACCTGGGTGGATTTTCACTGGCGATCTTATAATAAACTCTCAAAATCCCAGATTGAGACAAGGGAAGGGATGCTCAGTCGTATGTAATTAGGAAAAAGAGAGGGATTTTGAACCCACCCCTACATCATCTAAGTCAAATAGAGCCAGTGTAACTGTTGGGACCGTTGCAGGTAGGGTGTGCTAGGTACCAAGCCACAGTTAGGTAACCAATGACTTTTACAAGCTTATTTTCATCTCAGTACACCACATGCTTCATGTGCCACGTGCATGTATGTAAGTTACACATCTAAGATTATATTATTGGGTTACACTACCATGAATTATCTAAGGAAAACAGAATGATCATCATTGTGTGTGCAAAGACGACTTCTGAAATTAATACCAACAAGAGATTTCTTCTTTGCATATTTTCAAGCAGAAAGTGGACTAAATTATATCATTGGAGCATGACGTCTCAAAAAATATTTATTGCCAAATAATTCTTTACTGCTAAAAATTATTTATTGCATGAAATAGAAAAGATCTGAGACTGAAACTTCCATTTAAAAACATGATTTAAAAAAATAGAGTAATTACATAACAATTATGAAACTCAGATGCCAGAGTCAGAAATCAAGAAATTAACTATGTCAAGCAATTACAATATGATTACAAAGGCCCTTATATATTCATACAAGCTTTTTGCATTTTTTGAGCTAATTTTATGAAAAACATCAAAAGCCAGAAAACTAATGCTTAATGTATATTTTAAGGCCAAGAACAATATAGAAAAATTAATTTTCTCCTTAAAGTTTTTTAAGATATTTAAAGTAAACATTTTAAAAATTATTTAATCTGTGACCCAATTTGAATCACTTTGCTCTTCAGATTCCGATGTCTCCACAAAAATTCCGATGTCTCCTTGAAATTAGCTGATACATTATAAGAAATGAATGACTGTCCTGTCCTATTTGGGATACACATAAAAGTTACCCCAAAGGTTTAATTAGATAGTGAAGTACAAAAATACAGATTTGTAAAATATTAAATATATAAACAATATAAATCTCTATTTTGACAAGTGACTTGATAAACTAGGTTAAATAATTGTTAATAGAGTTGGGTAAAGGCAGTGATGTTGGTAAACTAGTGATCCAAATGAAAAGAAAGTCGGCTGGGCACGGTGGCTCACGCCTGTAATCCCAGCACTTTGGGAGGCCAAGGCGGGTGGATCACAAGGTCAGGAGTTCGAGACCAGCCCGGCCAATATTGTGAAACCCCGTCTCTAATAAAAAATACACAAATTAGCCCAGCGTGGTGGCATGGTGCCTGTAGTCACAGCTACTCAGGAGGCTGAGGCAGGAGAATCGCTTGAACCAGGGAGGTGGAGGTTGCAGCGAGCTGAGACCACACCACTGCACTCCAGACTGGGCAACAGAGTGAGACGCCATCTCAAAAAAAAAAAAAAAAAAAAAAACCAGAAAAAAAGAAAGTCTTGATACATGGTGTATGCTGCATGTATGTAAGTTACACTTCAAAGAGTAAGTCCTCCCACCATAGCTGTTTTCAAGTTATTACCATTTCAAGATACTAACTCCTGTGAATAGGAGGGTGAAGTCTTTAAATTACAGGAAATTTCAATAAAAGCCTGAGGCAAAGATATTTCAAGGGTTTTGGTTAAACAAAAGACACATTGGCTGGCATGAACAAGAGGAATCCACTATTGAAACCATCTTAGTCAATGGCAGGAAGACAGTGTTATGAGTCTACTGGTTACAGAAAATCTTTGTTTTAAAAACTCAGGTTTATCGAATTAAAATTTATATATGCCAAAAGTCATCTTTTTAAGTATGCAGTGTGTTGAAAACATAGATGGTTATATAACAAATACCATCCTCAAGATATAGAACAGTACCATCACCTAGAAAAATTCCCTTTTGTGCCTTTTGAATCAGTATTTCTGCTGCCCTCAGTCTTTGGAAATCGCTGTTCTTTGTCCCTATGGTTTTATATTTTCTAGAATGTCATACACAAGGGAGCAAACAGCATCCTGAATAGGCCTTTAAATCTGGCTTTTTAAATAGCATAATAAATCTGAGACACATTCATGTTGTTATGTTATCAGATTTGTTTCTTTTTCTTCCTAACGTGATATTAAATAGATACAGTATATAACTTTTTGACTATTCACCAGTTTTTGAAATTATGAATCATATGGTTAAAGTCACCAACAGATATACATATGTATATTACATATATGTATATAGTATACATATAAATCAGTGGATTCTTCAATTTTTTTATTGTCAAAATGATTTTTCCATTATAATTCCTTTGCTTCTCTGTTGAAAGTTTTAGAATGAGCTTGTTTGTTAGTTGCAAATATCCTGTTAGGAATTTTAACTGGATTGAATTTTTGTATTGAATTTTTTGATTGGTTTGAACAGAATTAATTTATTGTCAATATTGGCTACCAAGCTCTTTACTTATTTACTTCTTCTTTGATTTCTTTTACCAGTGTTTTTTTTTAGTTTTTGTTACCCTTTCTCCATGTTTTTTTAGATTAAGAATTTAATGTTTCTTGTGCTACTTTAAATGTAACTTTAAAAAATTCTAATTTCCAATTGTTCATTAATAGTGTTGTAAAGTAGCGGGTCCCCCACCAGGGAATTTAAGGGCATATGTTGACTGCTTGAGTCCTGAAGGCTAGATGGTGAGCAAAGTTCATGGTGCTCAGCCGAGGAGCAGATGTCCCTGAAAACCAAAACATCCGGGAGCATATCTAGGTACATACCAAGAAGAACAGTTTCATCACATGTAGTAAGCAAAGAGCCAGAAAAGTAGCTTTGGCCGGGCGCGGTGGCTCATGCCTGTAATCCCAGCACTTTGAGAGGCCAAGGCGGGCGGATCACGAGGTCAGGAAATCAAGACCATCCTGGCTAACGTGGTGAAACCCCGTCTCTACTAAAAATACAAAAGATTAGCCGGGCGTGGTGGAAGGCGCCTATAGTCCCAGCTACTCGGGAGGCTGAGGCAGGAGAATGGCGTGAACCTGGGAGGCGGAGCTTGCAGTGAGCCGAGATCCCGCCACTGCACTGCAGCCTGGGCGACAGAGCGAGACTCCGTCAAAGAAAAGAAAAGAAAAGAAAAGAAGAAAGAAAAGGAAAGGAAAGGAAAGGAAAGGAAAGGAAAGGAAAGGAAAGGAAAGGAAAGGAAAGGAAAGGAGAAAAGAAAAGAAAAAAGTAGCTTAAAAGCAGCTTAGAGGAAGATGGTGGGCAGCAGGCGGATCTCTGGAGTTATCCCGCTGCCCTTTACGTAAGTCCTAATAAACTCATCTTCTCATGAAGCTGGACTTGTCTGAGTCCTTCTTTGTTATTTCAGCACTATCTCTTTGGCAGAGGGATGTTCTTCTACACAGGTCTGGGTTTTTCCTGCAACAATTATATATAAAAAATAATTCTGTATATTAACATTATAGTGTTACAGTGCATAGTGTGAAATTACAAAACTCACAATTTATTTCTAGTAGCTTCACTTTTAATAATTTTAATTATTTTGTACTCACAATTTATTTCTAGCAGCTTCACTGCTAATAATTTTAATTATTTTGTACATAATGGAATACTGTGCATAGACCATCCACGAATCAAATAGAGTTTTATTTCTTCGTATCCAATTTGTATGCCTTTTGTTTATTTTTCTTACTTTAGTACACTGGTTAAAATTTCCAGTATACAGTTAAATAGTTCTTGAGGACAGGTTTCCTGTACTTCTTTTCTTCGTGCCTGTGTATAACGTATATTTAACTATATAATACATACAACACAACTATGTTTGTCTTCATATAATTTTTTACCTTTTTTTTAGTTTGTTTACGTAGCCCCTATATCTCTAGAAATGTTTCTTGGATTTACGATTTGATTGCCTTCACTTCTTTTGGAAAATTCTCATTCATTTTGTTTTTAAGTATTTATCATCCTTGTTCTCTTTCATGAATCCGTTCAAGTTAGGCATCCAGAGCTGTCCTTCAGCTCTTGGATGCCATGTTCTGCTATTTATCACTCTTCTTGTTTCTTACTTGTATTTGTTATTCAATTTCTATGTTTTTTATCTTCAACTTTACTGTTCCATTCTTTATTCATATCAAGTCTTCTGATGAATTACTTCATTGGTGTTTGCATTTTGAGGTAGATACAACAGTATATCTATTGAGACATTAATTAGTGCAATTAAACCGAAGTTTAACACATTTTAAGTAAAAATTTATCCCACTATCGCATAAAACTTGTGAAAGTTAAAGTCATCAGCACTTAATATTGTCTGTCATGCGAGGCAATCGGCACTCAAGTGGCAAATGCACTCATTTAACTCTAAATTGGTACTTTAGTTAATCTCTCATATTGATTTTTTTAACCCTTAAACACTGGCAAAGAGAAGCATACACCTAAAGAGAGATTTTTTACATTATTGTTTATTTAGTTAGTTTTTAGAAACAAGGTCTCCTCTCTCTCCCAGGCTGGAGGGCTGTGGTGCAATCACAGCTCACTGCAGCCTCAAAATCCTGGGCCCAAGCATACCTCCCACCTCAGCCTCCCAAGTAGCTGGGATTACAAGTGCCTGCCTCAGTACCCGGCTACTTTTAAAACATTTTTTGATACACATAGAGTCTCAGTTTGCTGCTCAGGCTGGTCTCAAACTATTGGTCTCCAGCAATCCTCTTGCCTCAAGCTTCTAAAGTGCTGGGATTACAGGTTAACCAGGACACCTGGCCTAGAGGTTATTTTTTGTTGTTTTAATTTCTTTATTTAATAGTCTGTGTATTTAAATTTTGTTGACAATAATCTTAACAGCAACAATAGTATCTACTTGAAAGGTATGCATTCTATATATAATTCCTTAGATATAAATTTAAGTATAAATATTTGAAAACTCTTTAATTTTTTAATATTGTGTCCCATTTCTTAAAAAGGAGAGAAGCTATATTAACTTTTGAATTCAGTACACAGTTAACAGTTCTTTCATTTAATATGTGATAATATAAATTTAACAGTGAAACTTTCAAATACTCATATTAACTTACCCTGATAGATTTTATAGCTTTAATATAAAACTTCTCATAAATGTAAAATTTGACAAAGCACAATATTCTCCAGGAAGTTAGAAAAGTAATATAATTTTCTGTCTCTCAGAATGTGTTTTCTAACCTCTAAATATAAATTGATGGACTAATCTTTTAAAATTCAGAATCAAATATAATTGCTTTGGTTTGATCATTGAGAATTCTTTTTCCATTCCATCATTTTATAGTTTTTGCCTAAATAAAATACTTAAGGAAGTTATTGTTATGTTGTATTTGAAAGATGCCTGATGGAGAAACATTCATAGTTCTTTTCTATCCTTATGAAAGGTTATATGAAAACATATATATATGTGTATATATAAACATGTGGATAAAGTACAGAAAATCCTATCATTGCCTCTGACTCAAATGGTAATCTTTAATATAAAGATTTGAAACTTTCATGGAACAGTATATCAGAACTTTATTTCCAATTTGTTTATGTATACTTAACGTATATCCTAAGTATCAAGAAATCACATTCAATTAACATATACATTATAAAACAATTCCTATATGATAATTCTAATAAGTAAACATGATTTTAGTGGTAGTAATTATTCAATCAAATATTCATATTTTAAAGATTAAATCTTCATATTTTAAAGCACATTACATCAGTTTACAATTCGATATTGACTACTGGATAGAATTTATCAATGAAATTTTGAATATGGCATGGTTAATGCAGATCATGTGAATTAAATTGCAAGGCAGAGAGCTTTTAAATTAAAAAAATAAGCTGGTTTATAAATCCAGTGCTAGATAGTTAATAAAAGCAATACATATAAATCTCCCAGACACCTCCCAATCTTGGTATTTTGAAATATTTTCCTCTTTTTAATATTATTTAAATAAAAAAATTATCTGCCTTTAAGCAACAAAACATGAACTCTTGGTAGAAAATTCACTAATTGACATAGGTATCTAGACTTATAAACCTGTAAAAAATGTGAAATAGAAGGCATAAAGTATTTGAGTCAATAAATTACTAACTAAATCTTTTGATTAAATCAGCTTATAAAAAAAGTAAACGTAAACACATAAGTCTTTGTATAAGCACCCCTACATTTTTAAAAGTATATTTGCCTTTTCATAAACTCAGTTGAGTAGTGGTAACATTCATCATCACAACTTTTTAGAGGCAATGAAATTGATGTCATTTGAGGTCTTCATCTCATATTTATCTTTTATTTTCTTATTTTGTCATGTTTAGCAAAGGATAGTAAAAGTAGAGGATCATTCAACCCAGAAATACAGGGAAACTGATCCTTGTAAATAGCACCCTTTATAGACTCATGGATATTTTAAGAGCAAGATGTGCTAGAAAGGAAAATAAGGCAATCTCTTAATGCTGTGCCTTTTCTTCCATTACATTTTTAGATTATATATTATCCCTTGTTTATTTCTGTAGCTGGGGAAAATATTTTTATTGAAATAGATTGTTTTTTGAAGTTTGCTATATTAGGTAAAAATAAATACCAAACTTCTCTGTCTTCAGTTTAATAGAAAAAAAAAATCCCTTGTTACTCTGTTTCTGCCTTACTGTTAGTAGAAAGATTTATGATTAAGTAATTTTAGTAGGACAACATTAAGAACAAAAACATGAACCAAAATACTTTTTAAAATAAATATACACATTTTTACTATATATAGACACATATATAAAAGTATATATACATATATGTATATATGTGACTTCAATAACAGGAAAATAGATTTTCCAGATTAACAATCTAAACATCTCATCCATAACAAAAGGTTAGGCTCTATACCAATGCTTGAATGAAAACTGTAATATCATCCATTTAAAAAAATGCCAACACATGCATAATTTTAGGCTGTAAAAATGAAAATATTTCAGAATTGATTAACAAATGGTGGAAGTTAAAGTTGTCTCTTCCCGACCTGCACTTTGTTTTCTGTCTCTTGCCTTTTCTCACATTTTATTTTTCCTTCCTATCTCAACAATATACCCCACCTGCAGTGTGCCCAATGTGGACACATACCTGCTTTTTTCAGGCACTGTTTTGGACAACATTTCCCTACTGAGCATTAAATCACTTTTTCTTAAATACGTACTAAAGATTTCCATGGCTGAAAAGCTAGTTCCACATACATTAATAATCCTTGAAGAATTAAATCAGATACAACCTCTACATCAGCACAATATTTCAAGGTGGTAAGGGAGTGCTACTGCTGGGTTCGTCTTCACTTAATAACTTTATTAATGATGTGGATGAGTGAACAAATATGAAAAGAAAATTTATAGGTATTACATACGTAGATTCTGCAGAAACAAATAGGCTGGAAGGTAATGACTGTAGAATGACCTAGAGAGGTTAAAAAAAGAAAATAGTAGTCCAATATTATTCCACTTTTAAGTAAATGAGACCATTAAGCTCTTTAAAATAACCAGTAAATAAAAACTCAAAGCAATGATAGCTACATCAAAAAGTGAGGGAAGAGGGGAAATTATATGTTGCAATGTTACAGAGTACATTAAAGCATTCAGTATATTTCCTGAAAATTTCATAAGCACAGTTCTTAATGTTTATTCATAAATAAACAAAACCACACCAAAAGCCATAGTTCATTTGTTTCTAACTAAGAGTACAAATTATTTATGCGGAAAAGTACATATAAGCTCACATAAATAACACGAATAATGTTTTCATTGTGAAGATATTCATAACGTTCAAATGACAAGGTCTTAGGAACTCTGCACCTTCATTAATTTTAATCAATATTTAACAATCAAGATTGTTTTCAATAAATCATGATCTAATAATGAAAGGGGGAAACTATTTGTTTTAACTTTCATTTCAGTTTTACCCTTTACTCACAAGTTGAAATTCATTCTCACTCTTTGCAAACTATTTTGAAACACTTCCAGGTAAAATTCATATAAATATTTTATTTTTCCTAATTTTTGGAAAAATTTTAGACTATTACAATCTGAGTTAATAGCCTAGTTCCTTTGTTGATCCAGTGTAAATAAATATTTCTCTTTTCTTGCTGTATTAAAAAACCCACAGTCTCTATAGCCAAGTCTATATCTATATCGATATCTATCTGTATCTGTATCTATCTATGTGTATCTCTATCGATGTATGCATACACAAATAATATCTGTGGAAGAATTTTTTTTCATGTAGTGTAATATCCACAGCTCTTCTACTTTAACCATAACTCAAGTTAATAACATTTTATTGTCTTTTGTTAGTTTTACCTGGAAAAGAAAGCACATCATATACAATATTATAAAATAGAAATAAAACTAAATATAGTGTTTTAGAAGGTAACAAAGTTTTATGTTTAAGGATATTAAATAAAATCTATTTCTTCCAGTATATTTTTTCACAATCTGTCTTAAATGGAATCTTCAGATATCTTAACAAGTTGACTACTAGATTTTGTAGTGTATTCCAATCAGATATCTATCTGAGGCCACTCTTTTTTTTAATAATCTAGGCTTCTGTAGACAATGTGGAAACATTTTTAAAATGATGACGCCCTCCTTTTCCTTCGTAGCTAAATTAGTACACAAAATTCTAAATATTTCCTTAGTTTTAATAATAATAAAGCAATATAAGATTCACCCTCTGTATTCAATTCTTTGTTACCAATTCTGCTATAATTAGAATTTTTGAAATTCTTAGTTATAACCTTTATTTTTGATAATTGCATTTAAAATGCAATGATAAAGCAAATAATTAAAATGCTAGGAATAAAATTGTCCTTTATTAGTTTATCATAAAGTTCCATAAATTTCAGCTCTCCTTGATTTCTCACTATTCTAGTTCATCAATTTTGTAATTAATCATTAAACATTATTCTTTCTCTATATTAAAAATATTAGCAATTAACAAATCCCTATTTAATATTATATTCATTGTTTTAGTTTGATGCTTTTTTTTTTTTAGTGATATGTACAGAAGACAAAAAAATGATGTGCAGCCTTTGTGTTCCATTTATTGTTGCGTAAAATAAAATTTCATCAATCTTGGATAAAAATTCTTAGGCCTATGATTATATTTGAAGGAAACACTAACTTCTGACATGATTATTTAGAACACACATTTTCTTAACTTGTCTTCCATTTTAATGGAGCTATAAATAGCTTTGGCAAATTTTTCTGCTTTGCTGTTAATTTAACTCAGTAGATTTATTGAAATTTTAAGACACCACGTTACGCAAGATTTAGGGTATGTGACTACTCTTTCCTCCTGTGTGGAGGTCGACATTGCCACAGTCTAATATCATAGTTCCCCTAAGTGGTCCCCTCCCAGAAGTGAGTTGCAAGTTCCTGCTGACTTTCAGAATTATTTCTCCATGTTTATGTCATTTTGATGCAAGAGAGGTCAATACACAGGTATGTCATCAAAATAATATTTAGACTATGTCATTCCCACAAAAAACAACTTATATGCCATGTTTTACTCACTACCAAAGTCTTGTTGAATACTACTTGTTTCATTCCTCTAGCCAGGAGACAACCTGGCAGGTATACTGCCTGAGCACCAAGAAGTTATCATATAATTTGCGTTTCACTGACCTCTCTTACCTTGTCAAATTACCCACAATAATTTTGGTAAAGTTGCATCTAACTTGGTATGGACTAAAAATACTTGCGTCGCCCCCAAAATTTGTATGTTAAAACCCTAATTCCACTGAGATGATATTTGGAAACAGGGCCTTTGGGAAATAATTAGGTCATGAGTCTCTCTCTCTCTTTCTCTCTCTCTCTCTCTCTCTCTCTGTCTGGTCTCTCTCTCTGTCTCTTTATGAGGACATGACAAGGAATGGAGGTTTTACCTGTAACCATTGACTGGCACCTTTATCTTGGACTCTCAGCCTCCAGAACTCCGAGAAGTAAATTTCTATTGTTTAAACCAGTCAGTGTATGTTGTTTTTGTTGTTGTTATAGCAGCTTGAATTAAGACACAATTTTCCTAAAACTTAAAAATGTCAGATTGGTGGATAAAATTGTATTTCATTGTGCTTTTTTCTTCAAGCCTTATACCTCTGACTCCAAACTCATAGTAACCAGTGTAAGACATGGTAGAATCTTTCCACTAGTGCTTGGGACACTATTTATAGTATCTACCCAATCTAATTTTAATGAAAAAGTTGAAGGTTGGTATAAAAAAATGTTTATCATCTAGGAGTTCCAGGCTCAATTCAACATACTTGTGATGGTCTCATGTAGTAGCAGTGACAGTCAACTACAAATGGTGCCTGAACAGGGACATTTCAGAGACTATCAGGGACATACAGAGACCTGAAAGGACCTGGAGGGACCTGAAGAGGCCTGCAGGGATAAACAGAGATAAGTGGAGGTAAGTACAGAAAAGTAAGTAGAGATAAGTAAGTAGAGAAAAGTAGAGATAGGTAGGGAAAGACGGGGACTTGCAGGAACTAACAGGTACCATAGGGACAGACAGAGACAGATAGGAATAGATAAAGACTAGCAATATAAGGTCAGTGCCCTGAAGAGGTACTGGTCTGTGTCCTAAAGAGGTACAAAAGTAGAGACTAGCAAAGACTAGGAGAGATTTGGAGGAACAGACAGGGACAGATAGGGACAGATAGGGTCCTATAGGACTAGAGCGAGGAAGGTCTGCTGGAACAGAAAAAAACTAAAACCAACTAGATGAACGAGAAAGCCCATTACAACTCTGTTGGCAGCGACATAAGGTTAGTTCTCTAAAAAGGTACTGGTCAGTGCCCTAGAGGTACAAAGAATGGGAAGTTTTTAAAACAGGGAAACGAGGAAGAATTTGGCTATTTCTTTTCTCTTTTTTGTTTGTTTGGAGTTTTGGTATGTACCATCTTTTTGTTATTTAGAATTTTTTGCCCCACCTACAGTGCCTATCGAAAATGGTGAACAGAAGAGGGAGAATGAAAATTGCCCTGTATCGTCTTCTTTGGTGGCTACAGAAAGGCTAACTTTAGCTTTGGCTTTCATGGATTGTAAACGTGCACTGGCACCTGTGAGATGTGCAGAGGACTTGGGAGGCTTTCTCAGAGCTTGTCAAGATGTGGGAACTGAGCTTCATTGCTCTGCAGTATTGACTCAGGCAATAGCAAATTTGGTGGCTGACAGATCTAAAAGAAGCCAAGGGTCAAGCCCTAAAGTGGGAAAGTGTCATAAGTGTAGAAAACTTGGACGTTTCAAAAGAGAATGCCGTCAGACCTCTGTGAACAAGAGATCTTGTAACATAGTCCCCCTCTTAACAGAAAAAAAATGCCGGACTTTGCCCTTGATGCAATAAAGGAAATCATTGGGCTAATCAACACCACTCAAAATTTCATCAAAACGGCACCCCCCTGTTGGGAAGCAAGAAGGGGGCCTGGACCCGGGCACCTCAAACTATGAGGGCGTTCCCTGTCCAGGCCACAACTCCGTTTCAGGGGTGGGTTTCCAGAGGCACATGGATTCCCTCTCCCCAGGAACACCTGGAAACGCAGGATTAGATCTCCCAGAGAACCAATTACATTAAATGAAAGAAACAAACTCACTAAGATTCACATTGGTATTTGGGGATCTTTGCCAACAAGATACATGGGATTGATTTTGGTAAAAGCTGTCTTAACTTACAGGCCCAGGAGTTGTTGATTTTGATTGTGAAGGAGAAATTCAGGTAGTGGTAATGTCACAAGATCTTTGGGTTTTTGAACTGGGAGAATATGTTGCTCAATTTTCGCTTCTTCCCTGTAAATTGTACCCTTCTCCACATAAGAAGAAGCGAGGTGGTCAGGGATTTGGAAGTGCAACTAGGAGAGAGATTTATCTATCACCACCCATAGCATCTAGTGGACCCACCTGTACAGTGCAAATTGAAGGTTTAAGGACTGCTTTTTGCTATACTGTTTTACGAGAAGGATAAGCCTCGATTTGCTTTCTCTGTGCCGTGTGTTAATCAGAAAGAGCCTGCTTCTTGTTCTCAGTGGAAAGTTTTACCCCACGGCAATTAACCAAAGAGGCAGAAGCTGAGTTACAAATGTTTCAGCAATGGCGTGCCTCCCGGCTACAGCAAAAAAAATAAAAAATAAATAAAAAAGAAAACACTTTTGATTCTGTTTGGTAGATTTACTAACGTGGGGACGAGGGTATACTTACGTCTTTGCAGAAGATGAACAAACCGAGTGGGTGCTCCCAAGGTGTGTACGACCGTTGAACAGGAGACTGGAGGGACCCATGGATCCCAACCATGGACCTTGTTCCCCCAGTATGAACCATGAACCAGTTGAATCTGAATGCAAAGATGGAATGAGGACCACTAGAAGCAGGGAGCTCTCTTCTTCCCCATGCTAGCCTTTCCTTAAAACAGTTTCTTTTGTTTTTTGTTACCATTTCTATGTTCGTCTCTTCATTCAGTCTAGTAATGACGGTCTCAAGTAGTAACCGTGGCAGTCAGCCACACTTAAATCTTAATGCTTTTGAATTCTAGAAGGAACTCAAAAAGAGACAAACAAGTCAGTCATAGTAGTAATACATGGAGAATGAATTGTGAAATCTAAGAGACTGAATATCATGTCAAGCATAAGCTTTTTCAAAGCAATTAAACTGGGCTTTTAATGACATTACTTAGACTTTCCAGACAAAATGTGTAACAATACAGCTAATTTTAATAAAATGACTTTGAAATCCCCAAACTCAAATATAATCTCATGAAGTAATTGTTTGTGATAACACCTTAATATGTTTTATACCATCATTATGAAAAACAGTGCAAGAGAAAGGAGAAAAAATTCTTTATTGTGAGTTAAAAACTTTGAAACCTAAGTCAATCATTTTTATTGTTTCAAGAAATATTTCCCCACGGCTACTTTAGTAGCAAAATCAAAGTCAGGAGCCCAGGCTTCTGTAAACAAAGTTTAATTGTATCCCCTCCCCCTTTCTTCTCTGTCTCATAATTTTCTCAGTACTTTTTAAGGGGCGAGAGGCATCCCCATGAATGACGCTGTTATAGGTTCTAAGGCAGAGGATGTGATGATGATGATCTTTGGGAAACGGTGAGGTGAATGTTGTCCACGAAGCTGCTTTCTAGTAGGGTGTCTGTGGGAAACTATACCCTTTCTGTGGGGTCTTCTGAATGTAGCTAATACTATTTTTGTTTGGGCTGGAAGTTTTTTATTATTATTGTTTTTACACTTCAAGTTCTAGAGTACATGTGCATAACGTGCAGGTTTGTTACATATGTATATATGTGCCGTGTTGGTTTGCTGCACCCATTAACTCATCATTTACATTAGGTATTTCCTCTAATGCTATCCCTCCCCCATCCCTCCACCCTACGACAGGCCCCTGTGTGTGATGTTCCCCGCCCTGTGTCCAAGTGTTCTCATTGTTCAATTCCCACCTGTGAGTGAGAACATGCGGTGTTTGGTTTTCTGTCCTTGTGATATTTTGCTGAGAATGCTGGTTTCCAGCTTCATCCAAGTCACTACAAAGGACATGAGCTCATCCTTTTTTATGGCTGCATAGTATTCCGTGGTATATATGTGCCAGATTTTCTTAATCCAGGCTATCGTTGATGGACATTTGGGTTGGTTCCAAGTCTTTGCTATTGTGAATAGTGCCTCAATAAACATATATGTGCATGTGTCTTTATAGTAGCATGATTTATAATCCTTTGGGTATATACCCAGTAATGGGATGGCTGGGTCAAATGGTATTTCTAGTTCTAGATCCTTGAGGAATCGTCACACTGTCTTCCACAATGGTTGAACTAGTTTACACTCCCACCAACAGTGTAAAAGTGTTCCTCTTTCTCCACATCCTCTCCAGCACCTGTTGTTTCCTGACTTTTTAATGATCGCCATTCTAACTGGTGTGAGATGCTATCTCATTGTAGTTTTGATTTGCATTTCTCTGATGACCAGAGATGATGAGCACTGTTAAGTTCTATCCTCTCCATATGTCCATGGGGCTGTTGGAAATATTCTTTTTCTGGGCTTCATGCTGTGCCCAGAGCATTTCCTTTTTCCTTCTCCTTTTTAAGGCAAGGATGCATCTGTTTTCATAAGGTTTGTGATAAAACAACACTCAAGTTTTGCAAGTTACATGATTGTCATCATCATTGCACTAATTTTTTGTGAAATATGCATTTTAATTACTTCCAAGAGGGTTTATTTCTAATGAAAAAAATTAAACAATAAATAATTTTAGACTTACCCCATGCAAGAAATTACAAATTCACTGAAGCAAACATGTTTAGGCTACACTGTATACAATCTACAAATTGCCTGCTCAGTCTCAGTTTCTTGCATATATTTCTCATACATCTAAATGTTAATTTCCACACTTCTGTCTCTCTGAATCCCTGGCAAATGGCAATGGCTAGTGACTTTGCATTCACCTATCAGAAAAACATGAATCCGGACACACTTCCGGGAGCATGGGACGTGGTAGGAATTTACTGGATAATAGGAACTGATATGTTATTTTGAGAGTGCTAAAATTCTCCCAGTGAATGTAACTTTGCCTATATTTTATATAACTTATTGGTTTTGGTTTGATAATTAAAAATATCAAAATTATCCTGGGGCAGGAGCCAAGGATGGTATTATACAGTGAGAAGTGAGTCCCACATGTCAGTCTTGTCATTTTCTTCCTCAGATAAAGTGCAGAATTTTGTCATCAGTAATATGAAAGAGAGATTTTACAGAAAAATTGCCAATTTTTGTCCATGAAGATGAGGGCAATATGCTAAGTATCAACGGACTAAAAGATGGCATATATTTTTTAGTGGGACATCCATGCAAGACTGCATTTCTTACCTGTTGACTATTACAGTAAATAGAAAATAATTATTTTAATTAAGCGACTACAATTTAGGGCATTTGTTGTAGAAATTTACAAATGTTTCACATTGCTTGACTTCAGGGGGCGCCATTTTTACATCATCCATTTCTAATAGCATGGCCAAGAGTATACTCCAAGTAACAAATGAGGTATAGCATATGAGACAAAGTAGAAACACTTAAAGGGTTAAAGAAATTTTCACCCGTATCTCTATGATGCAAAGTAAAGCAAAAGACAAAGAAACAAGCAAAAAAGAACAAGTGGTCGCCAAGCTGGACTGCAGTGATAAAACCATGGCTCACTGCAAACTCCGCTTTCTGAGCTCAAGCAATCCTCCCACCTCAGCCTCATGAGTAGCTGGGACTACAGGTGCCCACCACCACTCCTGGCTAATTTTTGGGTTTTTAGTAGAGACAGATTTTTGCCACATTGGCCAGGTGGGTCCCAAACTCCTGAGCTCAAGCAATCCACCCACTTCGGCCTCCCAAAGTGTTGAGATTACAGGCATAAGCCACCACACCCGGCCGCTGCATTTTTTTTTAATGGGAAATAACAAGCATATTCATTACATATAAAATGATATATTTAGAAATTTTGTAGGCTTTATAAATTCTGTTGGATAATGGAAAATTTTTTATTGTATTTTTTGTGTATGAGAACATATGTTATAAAGTAAAATGTACATAGAGGGAAATGGGATTGTGAGGATAGTAACCATAGGTGAGGAGATGGATGAAAGAAAGGTCTTACACTGCTATAAGGAGCTGTTACTATATCTTCTTCATATTTTTATAAAACATATCTTATTAGAAGACTTAAGTTACTTATTTTTTTCTTATATGTATATATTCACCTCCATTTTGAAGGCTATTAGTCTGGGAAACCTACAAGAACATTGCCGTAGGGAAGCTCAAGTATGTTAACAACAACAAAAATAGTTCTGTGAATGCCTTTACATAATATAAGGTCTACATATTCTCTCTAGATCTGTGCGCCGTAAGACTGGATTTTGAAAAGCTGAGGCATAGACTGATAGCTCTTTACCACACTTGTTTTTTCTTCTTTCTGGATACATAGCTTGGCTATATTTCCATGCAACTGTGTCCCGGTTAATGTGTACCACTTTTAGAGGGTGGTACATATAAATGTTTCTTCCAGTTCTTTCAACATGTGTCATTTGAAAAAGGAGAACTCTGAAGCCCTCTAGGAAGTTGGAGCTACAATACTGGAGGCCAGTTTCCTGAATTACTCCCTGGTAAAAGCCACCCAGACAAGAAATGCCTTTATTTGAATGTTATTAATGAGAAACACATTTTAAACTTTCAGCCACTTTAACTTTGAGGATTGTTTGTTAAAACAGCTGGTGTTACCCAAACTGTTATAGGAGTCTACTAAATATCATTTCATTTTTTTCCCTTCTCAAACTCAGAATGAATTGGGAGATAGCCGTGGGCATTAAAACTGTTTCAAGAAGTGCAACTTAGCGTTCAGGGCTGACCTCATGAGCTTCCAGAGACATCAGAGTAAGTGACCCTTATTCTAGTTTCGAAGCTCTGTTCTAGTTCTAAGCATGCAAATAAATTTTAAGCAGGATTTCTTAGCCTGCAGGAGCTGAGGATGATTAATAAGTCCTGCTGTTATGCATAAATGCACTGACCTATACTGTGCCCTTCAGTCAAATTGTATATTGTTTAATCGTGATAAATGAAGTGCACCAGGCACAGATAAGCTAGTCCCTGGAGTATGTCCAGATACACCAGAAAGAAGAATGACTCAAGCTGGGTGTGTAAAGCTACACTTTGGAGGATAGAGCTTCCCACAGGTGCAATGGAACTCTCACTTCTCACTTGCTCAGAAATTATGATCTGCAGTGTGAGTCTCCCCTGGTAAGGAAACGTGTCCAGCTCCTTGAAACATGTTCTAGAGAACAGCATTCATTACCCTCCCATGAACTTAAACATGCTTCTTGGCTCCTGTGCATTTTAGGTAAGTAAGCTTTGATTTCCCCAGGTGGTGTCGGTGTCTAGTCTTTTCATAAACTTGCACTTACTATTAACATGGAGAGGACATCCACAGGCCGAGATACATTGCCATGTCTTGCATTAAAAGCAAATGAACCTGAAGTTTTTTTGTAAACAACTTACGAAGTTTCATTTGATTTGATTTGATTTTTAATAATTCCCTGAATTGCTGTGATAATTAGAGTAGTGAATTCATTTCTGGTATGTTTTAAAAGTAATTCAAGGAAAATAATTTTGCAGAATCCTGATTTAGATAATATGAAGAGTGAATAGGAAAATGATGAAATTGTTGCTGCTTTTTACAGAGGCTTAGAATCATGGAAATCATTTGCTTTCAGGTATAAAAGGGAATAATTTCATTTTCTACTTTTTACTTTAAATTTCTGTTATCTATGTCTACATGCTTCTGTCCATTTCTTCATAGTTTGTTTTTTAAATAATATGCTTCTACCATTCTCTGAAAGCTATTTTAATTTTTCAGCTTGAATATAAATTGGTTGATACTGGCTGCAAATTATTTTTGGTATTCTAATTTGTCTATTTTTCTTTTTCTTGAAATGGAATAAATAAGCTTCACACACACACACACACACACACACACACACACACAAACCCTAAACAAACAAAAAAAATCACACAGCACCAGCAAACTACTAGGATTTACTGTAGGATAAAAGCTCTACATGGCCCTGCATACAAACTTTCTGCATACTTCTGCAAATTTTTATGCATTACTCAATCCATTAAAAATCACCTTGGAAGAAATTGCAAACACAATAGAAACTAAATGAGATAGTCACAGAGAACAACAAAAATAGTAATTTAAGCTCCCATACAACATCAAGTGTGTTCAGTCTATTTTTGGTTCTTCGGGTTCTCTTTAAAATTGAATTGAGTTTGTATATGCATATGTATGTAGGAGTGGAGGATGGAATTAATTATCCCAAACATCCTACACTCACTCCTCTAATATTTCTTTTGTTAACATGCAAATCTGTTCTCTTCATTACGGTGATACTGCATTTACATTACAACACAATTAGAGATCATTAACTTTCTCCTTTATAATCAGCCATTTTCACAGGCCTTTGATATACAAGCACCTATAATATATTCTTACTCATCTCACACTTTCATTTACCAAAGTGTCAAAACAACATTTTTACATCATTGATATTTGTTTTAGTTTCTGCAAGCTGGCTGTTAGAAGATGATTACTTCTCTTAAATTACCTCTTACCCTCATCTTGCTATCTTTTTAAAAGGAAAGAAAAAGCACTATAAAAATCAGACACTTTGGGTTCTGAACCTTTTATTTTGTGTGAAAAGATACTTATTTATGTATGCTAAATCACACTGATGCGGAAGACAAACTGGCTCTTCGTTATTTTTTTTTGGCACTTTATAGAGGAAATGTGTGGAGAACAGATCTTTCCTAAGGTATTATATTCATGTGCCTTAAAGATTAAGAATACTCAATGCGCCAAGAAGTGCTATATACCAGAAAAGTTTGTATCAATTAATGTATCTAAATTAAGTTAAAGTTTCTTTCAATTTAATGTGCTTGCAGATGTAAAATTGCATGTTTAAGCTTTGCAGTTATGTACTAAATCTGGTGCTACACTTCTAATGTCTAAAGGTTTTATTCAATTTCAATTTATTTGTTTTATAGTTTGCCAGAATGTGCTTATGAAAGGCACTCTCAGTCATAAAAATAAAATTATAAGCAGACTGGCACATAACTATTTTTTTAAATAATAAACTTTCTGATTTTAGAGACTTGTATTCTTTTATAGGTCCTGGTTCTCTTTCACGCTCTGACCTATAAGAACCCATACAGCATGCATTGCTGTGTATGGAAAAGCAGTAAAGGGAAGTACAGCCACCTTTTAGGTCCCATGAATAGCAAAATCTCTTTGACTAATCTCTTGTTTCAGGGTATGTCCACTCCTTGTTTAAAGAATGTAACTGGCTGGGCTTGGTGGCTCACTCCTGTAATCCCAGCACTTTGGGAAGCCAAGGTGGGCAGATTACAAGGTCAGGAGTTTAAGACCAGCCTGGCCAATATGGTGAAACCCCATCTCTACTAAAAATACAAAAATTAGTCGGCCGTGATGGTGGGTGCCTGTAGTCTCAGCTACTCAGGAGGCTGACTCAGGAGAATTGCTTGAACCCAGGAGGCAGAGGTTGCAGTGAGCCAAGATTGTGCCACTGCACTCCAGCCTAGGGGACAGAGTGAGACTCCATCTCAAAAAAAAAAAAAAAAAAAAAATGTAACCACACTCAATAGTCACTAGCACATTGTTTTGAATAGACTATATACTGAAAGATATCTGCTGGATATAGAATGACCTCAGGAAAAAGTCTAGACACTATAATCCATCTCACTTGCCAGCATTTAGCGACCTTTCAGCTTCATTACTGACTTTCAGCCAGTGTCCCTTAGGTGAGTGACTTGAGTCCTCTTTCATAATATTTGGCAGGAGAAAAGATGAGGTCATTGCTCCATCAATCCCGTCATGTCATGTCTGCTCATGTGTCATAGCTTATAAATAGTTACATGGTTCTGTCCAAGTGCAAGGGGGGCATTGCAGGTAGAGGTCTGTCTCCATGCGCCTTGAAAAGAAAATAACCAAATATCAGGGGAAAACAATAATATGAGCCATAGTGCCTGATATATACTATGACATCATAGAGATTTAATGAGTATTAATCAGGATTCAATGGCTGCAGGAGACAAACAGTTTCACAAACGAGGGTAATTAACTGGCTCATAGGCAATATCTCAAGAAAGGTGGGGTATTGTTATACTTCATGTGTTGCAGAAACATAGATGCTCCAATTTTACATGTTCTTTCTGTGTATGTAACATTCTTTGCCTTCTGGGTCTCAGCTTTATCTCTCAGGTTGACGTCTGTCACAGCTGTAGAGATAGTCACTGTCAATTCCTAGTTTCACAGTCTCCCATTTTCCAGTGGAGTCTTACTCTTTCTTTGTTTCCAGTTCAAATGTATTATTGAAGAATCCTGGTTCTTAATTTAGCTTCGGGACCTATTGAATCAGTCTGTGGAAGCTGGAATAATATGATTAGGGCAGCAGAAATGAAGAATGCTTCTTTAGACCAATCACTATGTCCATGAGGCAGACTAAGGACTACATGACCCTAATAAATTCTAATTTCTAGAGCTTCTTATCTGGATCCTGAAGCAGTTTCGGCCTTTATACTATGAGAGACTGAATACACTAACAGACAATGGTGGTTCCACACACAGAAAATCAACTCTGACCTCTGCAGCAACCAGTCTGCAGCGATTGGTCCAAATGCTTAGGAATTGGTGGGTAACTTCCAGCTTCCCTAAGTGTTTCCCTCCAGCTTCCAATTTAGAACCAACCAGAGAATGCTAATTATGCAGCTTCACCCATCAAATAGGATGTTTTGCTTCTAGTTATCCAACCTTTAGATTCCCCATGACAATAATTTCCAACCAGGGCATTCCTGCAGCCTTCTGGTTTTCCCATGATAAAGCTTTCTCACTGCCTGCCTGCCTTTGATTCGTTGCCATATTGCAAGTGATGGTGGCCAACTCCCTGGCTACAGCAAGCTCTGACTGAATAACCTGTATTTCTTTTCATTTGAGCAGTCTTAGCTTATTTTTATAACTATTGAGGAAACGTTGTAGCAACCCTTACACTAAATGAACTTAATTATGCCAAACCTTTACTTACTACTTAAATAAATACTCTTCCAGACAATGTTACCAAACAGTGTCCCCTTTGTTGTGAAATCTTGTAGATACTGTTTAATTAGTAGAATCCTCTTACTTTCTTTTCCCTGTCAGTTTTACAGTATCCAACTGGTCCCGTGTATGATAGAAAACATTTCTATAAGGTAACACAGTATATTTCAACCCACACTATTACTATTGATGAGATTACTTTGCTATTCACATCTCATAACATTAGCAAAAATGCACAAATCTTAAACTGCCTTCTTTTTCCCCTCCAGGATGAAGGACAACCACATATTTAGCTGACAGTGATTCAAACTCTCATCTTGTCCAAAACTGACTTAAATGGCATAACTTTAATTAACTCTGATCTTACATTATCTGTTGACAGTTTTCACCTAGAATAGAGAAAATTAACCTTGTTTTGGATATTCTCTTATCTCTGAAGACTCCATCTGCCTGGGTTGCTGAATCAATTTTTGTAACTGGAACTCACAATCCAGCCTGAGGCAAAAAGTGAAGAGTATATGAGAGAGAGAACATTTATGTAGATAGTAGACAAGCACTAGAAATTGTGCATGATTTTGGAATGAAGGGCTCTTAGGTTCATTTTCGACTCTTAGCTGCAAGTATAGAAATTAAAAAGAAAATTAATGTTTTATCTGACTCCTTAAGAAATTATAAGTTAATTTAAACATATCTACTCCAGTGAAATAGAAATGAAATCTAAAGTTAATTCTCAGGCATATTGCTTTGCAAGAAATGCTCCTCTTCATAGAAAGCTGCCCAAGTAAACAAAATACTCCCTTACTGTAAACATTTATTCCTCTTTATGAAAAGTTACTTGTAAAAGAATTTTAACTAGGTATTGAGATTTATTTGACAGTTCAATGATAGCCACTCGGTGGCTCCTAAATCCGTACAAATAACATTAGCAATCACACTGTGTGGATCTACCTAAAATACTAAAGGTATCTCAGAATCAGTGTTACTAAGATACCGTGGATGAGTTTGTCTAGAGAAGAGCAAGCATGCCTTATCTGGAAATTCTGTAACCACCACAATGCTGATTAATCTGTAAAAGTGGGTCAAAACTTTCAACCACTATCACAGGCACTTTAACCCCCTATAAATGGACATTGTACAAATACCTTAGTCCCAAGGAAACCAATATGTCCTGGAGATTGTTTGTGAATGTCCCTAGTGGAGCAAAGCCTAAGTATAAGAATCTTTTTGGTGTGTTTTCCCCACCTGGGATCTCCTGTCAACCCTGTCAGCTGAAGGAAGGGCTCATTTTACAAGGAAGTGTTTTTGACGATTTTGCATGGTTGTCTTTATCTCTAAAGCATAATTACACTTATAATCTGAAAAGTATATAAAAGATAGAGATATTAAGTTGTTTGTTAAAAATAAGTAATCTGAATGTTCAGAATGACTTCATCTCCCTTGTTCTATAGTGCTTCTTTCAGTGTTACTAGCCATGTGATCCTCAGCTTTAAATCTTACAGGCTTTTTCTTGTGAAGTGGTAACTGTAAGAACCATGAACTTGGATCTAGTTACTACATTCGCCAATTCTTCATTTTGTGGTAGTTGTTGTTATTTTTCTTTATGAGACAGGGTCCTGCTCTGTTGCCCAGGCTGATGTACAGTGGCATGATCACGGCTCATTGCAGCCTTGAACTCCTGGGCTCAAGCAATCCTCCAACCTCAGCCTTCTGAGTAGCTGGAACTACAGGCATGCACCACCATACCTCACCATTTTCTTTTTTTGTATATATACATTTTTTTTTCGGTAGAGAATCAGTTCTTCATTATTAAGTTTATAAAATACCAGCCAGAGGCCAGGCGCAGTGGCTCACGCCTATAATCACAGCATTTTGGGAGGCTGAGGCAGATGGATCACTTGAGGCCAGGAGTTCAAGACCAACCTAGACAACATGGTAAAATCCTGTCTCTACTAAAAATACAAAAAAATTACAAAAAATTAGCCAGGCATGGTAGTGCCTGCCTGTAGTCCCAGCTACTTGGGTGGCTGGGGCATGAGAATTGCCTGAACCCAGAAGTCAGAGGTTGCAGTGAGCCGAGATCATGTCACTGCACTCCAGCCTGGATGACAGAGAGAGAAGCTCTCAAAAAAATAAAAATAAAAATACAGCCAGAGATCGATTTAACTGTTAACTATTATTTGATGTAATTAGCTACATACCTATCATATAATTAAAATTCAGTATTGAGATGGTTGTCATAGGGACACTTCAAACCAGATTAAGTTTATTTTAAAAGTGAATTGAGAGATTTTACTTTATAAAAAAAAAACCAATTTGGTTAGTTTGCCATTTAGGCTTCTAATTTTGATCTGAGGCCTGCTAACCCTGGAGATTACACAAAGACTTTGTGAGGCGTACTGCGGCCAGGCAAAGACTTTTAAAGAACAGGTTTCCAGGTGTCACATTCGAATACTTCTTTCATCATTCTTGCTGTCCCTCTTTCATTTCTTCTTTTTCAAAAGAATTCTTCTCCCACAATGTTTCTTTTTTTAAAAGAGAAAAATATATCTCCACTTTTTTTAACTTTACCTTGGTGCTTTGTCCCCAGGTGTTGAAATTTCCAGGATGCA